>NC_000006.12:8393333-8544848 GCF_000001405.40 Homo sapiens
GTTGAATAGTTTTCTGAACTGGTTATAGCAATTTGCACTTCTAATAGCATATGAGAATTGTCAATATTTAGCCTTTGTGGTAAGATTGTAGTAGATTTTTACTTGGGGTTATCACTGAAGCATAATGAGTCTTTTCAAATGTTTATGGTTATTTGGCTATCCTCTTTTGTAAAAGGATTCAAGTCATTTCCCAACTTTTGTATTATGCTGTCCTTATTGATTTGTAGAGGCTCTTTATGTATTCTAGATACAAGTTCATTTTGATGACATGTATGGGAAATTTCTTCTCCTACTTGTG
The DNA here is from genome assembly GCF_000001405.40 of Homo sapiens. Taxonomy (NCBI): domain Eukaryota; kingdom Metazoa; phylum Chordata; class Mammalia; order Primates; family Hominidae; genus Homo; species Homo sapiens. Next base: position 8,393,632 of record NC_000006.12, read on the forward strand.
GCTTGCTTTTTTACTTTCTTAATGGTGTCTTTTGATGAATATGATTTTTAAATTTTTAAACATTTTATTTTGAATTAATTTTAGATTTACAGAAGAGTAGAAAAGAGTACAGAGAGCTCCAATATATCCTCCATCCAGCTTCCTCTAATGTTAACCCCTTCCATAACCATTTATCAAACATAACTAACACTTATCAAACTCAGATATTAATATAGGTACGACACTGTTACATAAACAATACAATTTATTCAGATTATACCGGTTTTCCGCTGTTATCCTTTTTCTGTTCCAGGATCCAATCCCGAATACCATGCTGCGTTCAGCGCTCAGTCTCCTTAGTCTCCCTCAATCTGTGGCAATTGTCTCAGTTCCTATTTTTCCTGACTTTAACACTTTAATAGTACTGGTCAGGTATTTTGAGAATAAACCTCAGTTTGGACTTCTCCAATGTTTTCTCATGATTAGATGAATTCACTAATTTTAATGTAATATAGTTTGTCAATCTTCTCCTTTATATTAATGCTTTTTGTCTCCTTTCAAAATAACTTCCCCTCCCCACAGAGCCTGTTTTACCTTTCATATCTTGTGAAAGCCACTGTTTGACCTTTCATATGTAGTTTATAAGTTTAGGCCAAGTTCCATAGTTTCCATATCTAACCCATCAAACATCAATTATTGAAAAAAAAAGTTTCCCTGCTTATCTGTAGTCCCATCTTTGAGGCAAATCAAATGTCCCTGTGTGTGTGGATTTGTTTCTGAGCTCTTAATGTTGTTCCAACAGTCTATTTGTCTCTTCTTGTGCCATAGTGCACTGCACTAATTACTGGAGCCAATAACAAGTCTTGATATATGGTGGTACCTATTTTGTTTAAGAGATCATTGGCCATTTCAGCACTTCTCATTTCTTTATAAATTCTGGAATCAGCTTATTTTCTCATATACACATACGTACACAGGCATGCTGGACTTGAACTGAATCCATAAATCATTTGGGAATGACAATTTACTATATTGCAACTGCCAGTAGATGAACATGAATATACCTTCATTTATGTAGGGATTCTATAATTTTGCTCAATAACTTATAGTTTACTGGCAGAGATTGTGCACATCTTATATTTATTTCAAAGAATTTCATGATATTTAATACTACTTTGAATAGAATCACTTTTTTCTTTTTTTTTTGAGACAGAGTCTCGCTCTGTCACTCAGGCTGGAGTGCAATGGTGCAACGTTGGCTCACGGCAACCTCTGCCTCCCGGGTTCAAAGCATTCTCCTGCCTCAACCTCCTGAGTAGCTGGGACTACAGGCGCCCGCCATCATGCCCGGCTAATTTTTGTATTTTTAGTAGAGACAGGGTTTCACCATGTTGCCTGGGCTGGTCTCGAACTCCTGACCTCAGGTGATCCACCTGCCTCGGCCTCCCAAAGTGCTGGGATTATAGGCATGAGCCACTGCATCCAGCCTAGAATCACTTTTAATATTCAATTTTTCTAGTTGTTTGCTGCTATATAAAGAAATACAATTCTTGCATATTGATCTTATATTGAGAGACTCTGCTAAATCCTCTTTTTAATTTTAATAGTGTATTTGTAGATTGCTTTAGATTTTGTGTGTACATAATTGTGTCATTTGTGAATATACTTTTTTTTCCTTGCAGTTGTTTTTTCTTCCTTGTTTTTTGGCTTTTTCTGTACAGGCTAGGACCTCCAGTACAATGTTGAATAAATGTACTAGTAACAGGAATACACACTTATTTCTGAAATCAAACCAAATACTTTCTATAACTTATCATTAAATATCATGCTTACAGTAGGTTTTTTTGTAGGTACTTACATATATGGAACTATTCAAATTTTGTGTTTTCCTATGTCAGTTTTGGTAGACTGTATTTTTGTAGAAATTAGTTGTTCTTATCTAAATTTTCAAATTTATTGGCATAAAATGCTTTAAGATATTCTTTTCTTCTTCCTAAATGTTCATAGAACATGCAGTAATATCCTTTTTTCATTTCAGGTATACTACACATTTTTATCTTCTTAATTTCATGATCAGACAACCCAGAAGTTTATTAATTTTAATTCTTAAAAAAAAAATCAACTTTTCTTTTTTTTTTTTTTTTTTGTTTGAGACAGAGTCTCGTTCTATCACCCAGGCTGGAGTGCAGTGGCACAATCACAGCTTATTTTAGTCTTGATCTCCTGGGCTCAAATGATGCTCCTGCCTCAGCATTCCATGGAGCTGGGACTACAGGCATACACCATTGTGCCCTGCTGATTTAAAAAAAAAAATTCTTATTTTTTCTAGACATGGGGTCTCATTATGCTGCCCAGGCTGGTCTCAAACTCCTGGTCTCAAGCAATCCTCCCACCTTGGCCTCTCAAAAGTATGAGGTCACAGGGGTGAGCCACTGGGCCTGGCCTTAATTTTTTTAATTGTATATTTTTATTTACTATTTAATTTCTGCTCTTATTACATACTTCTTTCTGCTTTCTTTGGGCTTCATTTGCTGAATATTTTCCTCACTTCTTAAAATAGATGCTTAAAACATAATAAATGTTTATAAAAAATAGGCTGTTCTTTTATGTGCATTTTTTGTTTGATCTTCAAAATCACCTTGTAAAGGTGTGCTAATTCCATTTTTCTGGATGAAGAAAATGAGAAGGTAACTAATTTGCTCCAGGTTAATTATGAAGCTGGAATTCAAATTAGGGCTGTTTGTACAGAAAGTCTATATTCTTTTTAAATATCTTGAATTCACATATGATTAGTATAAAATACATTTTTATCTTTTTCAAAAATTCTATTTTGTAATTAAAGAAAAAATTAGAATATGGTAAATATTTGTTTGCATTATAAAGAATCTAGGGTCAGTAAAGAAATCTAATTGTTATAAATCCATCTTTATGCTGATCATGTTTAAAAATTTTTTCATGTATCTCAAAAACGGCACTGACAACTTCCTCCCTTTTGACCTGTTTCTCCTTCTTTTGGCTCCTTGAGATCACGCTTTTCTCCTTCTCTGACTTCTCATTTTCAGCCCCTGTGCAGGTCCCTCTTGCTCTGTTCACCACTAAACATCAGTGTTCCTCAGGCTTTGTAAACACTCTCTTCACTTAAAAAAACAACATTGACAATCTTACTCATGCTCATTATTTTAACTCCCGAATCCAGATTCCCAGGCCTCTCAAACTACATATTATCATTGCTTTCTGAAATTGTTCATCTGGAGGTTCCAAAGTAAGACTTTAAACTCAGTCATGTCCAAACTATGCTTCAACTTGCTCTCCCCAACAGCAAATACACTCTTTCTCCTGAATTGTGTATCTCAGCAAGTAACATTCATCCAGTTTTCCAAGTCAGAACTGCAAAAGTCATTCTAAGATGCTTCCTCTCCCTCATCCCCTCCCTATCAATTACCCTCTAGATATCCCTATTATTGGTTCCATCCTCACCAGCTCCAATGCCTGAGTGTGTATTTAGATCCTCACGATGTCTTACCTGGACTTGCTTAAATGCTACCTCTTAGAAAAAGTCTTTCAGAATAGTCCTATTACACTTCATATACATTCACATTATAGAAATTAACGCACCATAACTCTATGCCTGCTTCTCACTAAACTTTGAGATAATTAAGTGAAGGAGTTGTGAGGCAGATATATAATCTATCTCATAAACATAGATATGTATTTACATATCTCTGAAGAGACTTGCAAATTGCTCAATACATATTTGGTCAATGGCTGTCACAGGAAAAAAAATGGAAAGGAAAGCTTATGATTTTCTCAGTGGTTGCTACAATAGTGGATAATTCATACTTTTCAAAATTAAGTGGAGAGGTCAAGTGGGTCCATGGAGTGTTACTATTAACCCTTCTGAAAGAGTTAGTTTAGATGGAACTATTGAGTGGACTTGTGTTCACTCACATAGAAATAGAGCTGGACCCTTTATGATAGTGCTCTGCCATCCAGGAAATGTCTGTTCATAAGGTCATAATAAAGCCTTCTGCTATTATAGCCACATCATTTGAACAGTCTTGTCTATTCATAAGCAAAGTTGTATGCTTAGAAAGGCTTAGGATCATGGAATTTGAATTTTGAATATTATAATTTCAAATTACATATCACTTATTAACAAAACTATCATAAAGAAGAAAACTCAATTCTATCAAGAAGGTATTTTTAATCACCCCATTTTCAGTGTGGTGAGTGAAGCACAGTAAAATCAAGCAATTTATGCTAACTGTTATCATATTACTGACAGTAATTCAGAAGTATTTCTTCCTAATTCTAGAGTCTCCTCTTTCTTATTGTGGTGACATTTCCAGCTAACACAGGAGAGGCACATAAAATCCTTAAGTACAACTTCTGATCTGGCACTTAGATCCCATATTTTAAAAATTTCCAGTGTTAATTATTTTTAATCCCTGCTCCAGCTTTAAGTTTATAGGTGTTCCTCGAATTATGACAGGTTACATCCTTATAAACCCATCATAAGTTGAAAATATCCTAATTTGAAAATGCACTTACTGCAACTGACCTACGGAACATCATAGCTTAGCCCAGCCTGCCATAAACGTGCTTAGATACTTGCATTAGTCTACAGTTGGGCAAAGTCATATAGCACAAAGTCTATTTTATAATAAGGTGTTAAATAGTCAGTGTAATTTATTGAATACTGTACTGAAAGTGAAAATAGAATGGTTGTATGGGTACTCGAAGTGCAGTTTCTACAGAATGTATGTTGCTTTCACACATTCTTGATCATTAAGCCAAGAAATCAAAAGTTGAACCACAGTGAATTGGGGACCATCTGTAGTCCCAACTGGATCTCTTGCTAAGAGAGACAAAATGACCTAGGAGTTCACAGCTAAGCAAGCCAGATTCCCTTTGCTTCTTCTCTGACTTTGACGCCTACACTCTATTTTTTTTCCCCAAGATTAAGCTTCTGTCTTGCCTTGTACTTCCAGTGATGTCCTCTCTGTCTTGACTACATTTGCCTTGGCTGCTTTACAAAGTATCTCACTTTAATTCAACGTAAAATCCTGACTGGTCCTTGGATTCTATCCCTTACTCCCAGTTGCCCCGTTTCAACACCTCTCTTTATGGTTGAGTCCCATTACCTGCTGGTAGATGACTTGAAGTGTCTACCTATATAGGCCATCTCACTCAAGCACAGGTCGATTTGGCTGACTGGGGATGTCAGGCAGGAAATCCCTTCTTCTTTCACCTCTGTGCATTCTCTTAAAGCCTGGTTCAAGATGCTAATCTTCTTAGGTGGGTTAGTAAGTATGACAGCAGGAGTGTCCACAAAAGTCCTTCCTTGGAAAAAGTCTTGCTCCCTTTACATGGTCCTGAGAAGGAAGGCAGTGTCAGGATTTTGAGAGGACACAAACAGCTGGAGAGGATGCCAGTCCTAACCTGGTGCTGTTGTGGCTGGAAAGAGCAGGAGTTGAGGAGTGGTGGGTTATCAGCTAGGCATCAGAGTCAAAGAAACCGATTTAGGTGCATTATGCCATTTACTATGTGTGAACCTTGGGTACATCACTTGTCTTCTTGAGGTCTGTTTCCATGTCTTCAAAATACAAACTACTGCTTCCCTGCCTGTTTCAAATCACTTTGTACAAATGATATGCATTAGACAATAGCAAAATTAGGAAATTTTACAAAGTATACTAATTGGTACCATCTCAAATAATCAAAGCTTTATGGTGAAGTTTTCCTATCACAAACAATTATGCCTATGTATTAAAAACAATCTTACCTAATTAGCCATAATATGAGACATATTTTAGGACTGAATTCTGTTTTATATTTCTGTTAGTCTTCTCCTAGAAGATTTGAAATCTATATTTAAGTTAGTAAAATATTTCAAAATTACATTTAAATTAGTAATTAGATTTGTAATAAAACATTACAAATCTTACTTCCAAAATTTGAATTTTACCAATTAAAACTGGTAAATGAACCAATATTTCTGAAATAGATTGCATCAAGATAGCGGCCAGCAAGTTTTCATTTGTATTAGAAAGGCAAATCTGAGAATCATTAGTAGTATAAATCACTAAGACAAAGAGTTGGGAGAAATTCTCTTTTAATGAGTTTTGGCTCCTGTCAAGATGGTGAGCTAGGATAGGCTGCTGGTTTCTTCCAAAAACAATCCTAGAGGAACTAGGAGATGGGGGAGGGTGGCGTGGTAGGGAGAAAGGATAGGAGAGAGGGTGAGAGACAGTGAGAGAGAGAGAGAGAGAGAGGAAGACAGACATACTGATTCAGACAGACAGATGTGAATTCTAGGAAAAAACAAAACAATACCAAAAGTGAGATGTTCTGGGGAGACTGAGGCTGTTTTAATCTTGGAGTTATAGACTAGAAACACAGAAGGCAGCAAGGTGCAGAAGGCAGTGAGAAGGCTTGGAGAGAAACTGCCAATGGCTATGCTAAAGTGTGTAATTACTGTTAAAAAAAAAAAAGACAACTGAAAAATATCTACCATTGAAAACAGAATGATTAGAAGAGAGTCCAAGAATTTAAAATAACCATGATAAAAAATAACACAATTAGGAACAATACTGGTAGCATAAAGCAAAACCAATAAATCGTTTTAAAAATCCAGGTAGAAATATTAGGTCTGAATACATAAGGGTTGAAATATAAAAAACACGACCATGACAAAGGAGATAAACAGCAGGTTGAACAGATGAACAAATTAGTACACTGAAAGCCCAGACTGAGAAACTCTCTCAGAAGCAGCAAGAAACAGCAGAGATGGAAACCATAAGAGAATAGCTTAGGGATATGTAGATGAAAGTAGAACTGCCAACATGTATAGGAGTCCCAGAGGTGGAGGAGAAAAAATAATCAAACTATTAGATATTCCTAGAAACTGTGTTAACAGATAACCCCTTAGAATTATGAAAAAAAAAATCACTACCCACGCTTCAGTTTTATGAGAATGGCAAACTGCTAAGAAATAACTGAACAAATAAAGTGTATGTTAGTAAGATTAGCTTGCAGAATTTACCAAATAGCTAGGACATTTAAAACAATAAATCTCTTAATTCAGTGTGGGACTATCAGCCTGTGAATCTACACTCTTACTGGTGCCCTAGCCATGGACCTAGTTAGGCCTAATCAATCACCTATGTAAACAGTGCAGCCGCACACCTGGTTCTATGCTTCTCCTGAATCCAGCATAACTCCAGTTGTTTAGAGATGGACATCTCTATGACTCAAACTGGCTATGGATGATTCAAACTAGCTATGGTTCATACACATCTTACAGTAAATTCCCCCAGCCTCACCCTGTTAGATCAAACCTTCTTAAGAGCAGACATTTCAAATGTCTTCTTTGATTTAAAGAAAGGTGGCCAAGCATCCAAACAGTCCTGAGATTTTATGATTCTGTGGTGCTTAACACAGATATTGTAGACCAACATCATCAATTAAAATATAGTTAGAAACTAGAGAAAAAGATGATTACCTGTGTTTATGAAATGTCTCTGGTTTATATACAAAAATTATTCTAAACAATTACAATTGAGGTCTATCTATCATTGAATTTTGGAATGTATGAAAAAAATCAATTCCTAAGTGCCCCAACCAATTCCTAAGTGCTTATACACTGTTGAGTCAGAAATGAAACACAATAAACATTTTAATTGATCTGCTTTTTATTTCTGTCACTGTAACTGGTACTAGGAGAAAAATAATTGGGGAAGAGCCCTATAATGAGATCTAGAATAATCAGACTCCAAAGTCTTATTGCTATTATTTTCTATAGTGAAAAATTATCCACATTTCTTTACTTATCTATTTAAATCTTATCAATTGTGTAAAAACTGATTAAAATGGTCTAATTATGTTTTAGAAATGTGGGGGGTTATCATAGGATTAAGATATTTAATAAAACACATTTTTGTGATTAGACTCAGAAGAATCCCTTAAGTGTTAAGACCTACTTCCCTAAACCCCTGTAATTCACAGTTCATTCTGAAACAGCAGTAAATCATTGATGTGAACATTTTCTTCATAATGTCACTACAAAATAGCATAAAAACTATCTTAACTACATGCCATGAAATTAAAACAACAGACCATGACTGGAAGAGAATTACAGGTTTATCTTACTTTCATGAAGATTTTTAAAAAGGTAACATTTATAGAGAAAGTCATGAATATTAAATCTTTCAAACACCTACAATGATTAAAAAACTCTTTCTGCTTATGCCAGCAACTCTCCAACATAAGATTGCTGTTCAGTTTGCTAGGGCAGGCCACCGAGAATGTGAAGTTTGAAAAGCAAATGGAACAAACTTGGGTGAAAATTATTCTGATAATTTCAGATGTCCTGATATTGAAAACTTCTGAAAGTTTGTATGCTACACCCTAGACACTCCAGGTATGGTCCATGGACCAGCAACATTAGCATCACTTGGAAGTATGTTAGAACAAAATCTCATGCCCCACCCAACCCTATTGAATTCAAATCCTTTGTTTTTTCTTTTTAAAAAACTAGATCCTTAGGTGGTACATGTGCACACTGAGGTTTTAGAAGTACTACCACCATGGCGAAATATTCTGAAAACTTAGGGTTAATGTGATGTGTTTTTATATAACAATCATAGCAAATCTTCCATAGATTGGAAGTTTTTCAAGAGTACGGGTTATAGTTTATTCTTTTTGCATCCTCAGCATCTAGTATAATGCCTGGCTCATATTTGGCCCAGTGAAGATGAATGAATAAATGACATTATAGTAAAAATAGAGCAGTCATATCAGTGAGGCTACATTAGCTGTTTACAAATGTTAAGACAGCTGGTTCAATGGGCAAGTATAGGGACAGTCAATAGGGACAATAAAGCAGAATAAGTGAAAATGTAAAATATTTTTGCTCAAACACATAATACAGAAAACTTATCAAGTGTTTAATCAGGAAGAAAACACACAGCAAAGGTTTTGAGTGTCACAATGTATAACCTGATGATTTGATAACCATGTAATTAGTTTTAGAGTTGGGGCTGGCCATGCTGGAAAGACTAATGATGTGACCGTAGGCTTGGGACTTTGAGCCATGAGGTTTGGGACTTTGAGCCATGAGGTTTGGGACTTTGAGCCATGCAATACCAACCCAACCTCTGGGGAAGGAAGGACAGCTGAAGATAAAGTTCAGTCACATGGCCACTGATTTAATCAATCCTATGGGCTGTATAGTGAAACTCCAATAAAAACCATATACCAAGACTTGGGAGAGCTTCCCTGGCTTGAACACATGGATGTACCAGGAGGGTGATGCATCATAAGGACATGGAAACTAGTGTTTGCAACTATGTATATAAGAGTAAATGTGATTTTGTAATGCATACATATTTGCAGTGTGCTAAGCCACATTACTGGCCCATTACTGGTCAAGTTTTACTAAAATTTTAGGCTTACTGATCAAATAAGAATCTAGAATGTAAAGTGGGTTCAAAATCTAGAATATAAAGTAGGTTTAAGGTAAAAAACACTTGGGAAAACTAAAAGCATTTGATAACAGTTCAGACAATGCTAATAGTTCTTTAATGATAGCTAACAAGCATAATGCCTGCAGTACAATTCTGATCCTAACTACCCAGAGTTAGGTCAAATGTCACATGTATTACTCAGGGCTCTCAGAGGGACAGAACTAATAGGATATATATATATATATATATATATATATATATATATATATATATATATATAAAATATATATGTATATTATATATATGAGTATATTATATATATTTATGTATAATATATATTTATATATTATATATATATGAAAAGGGGAGTTTATTAAGTATTAACTTACATGATCACAAGGTCCCACAAAAGGCTGTCTGCAGGCTGAGGAGCAAAGAGAGACAGTCCAAGTTCCAAAAGTGAAGAACTTGGAGTCTGATGTTCCAGGGCAGGAGAGCATGGGAGAAAGATGTAGGCTGGGAGGCTAGGTCAGTCTCGCGTTTTTCTGGGAGGCTAGGGCAGTCCTGCACATTTTTCTCCCTGTTTTATATTTGCTGGCAGCTGATTAGATGGTACCCACTAGATTGAGGGTGGGTCTTCCTTCCCCAGCCCACTGACTCAAATGTTAATCTCCTTTGGCAGCACCTTCACAGACACACACAGGATCAATACTTTGCATCATTCAATCCAATCAAGTTGACACTCAGTATTAACCATCACAAGTCTACCCCTTGTCAACTTGAACCCATACACATCTCCTGAGATCATACATAATCTTCAAATAAAGACAATAATGTCATAATTATGCCTAACATAATACAACTATCCTTCATACAACTGGAAATGCACCAATCCCCAACCCAAATACTATTGCATAAAGTTAACAATACTTAAATGCTGATATGAAGTCAATAATCTTACATCACATGATAAAGGAAAAGGAAATAAAATGAAGATATTTTCTTAGTACAAGTGTATACATGCATAAACATGTTTTTAACAAAAGGAGGAGGAAATATTCATGACAGTTACAGTCCTCGTTTCTGTAGCTGGTCATGTGGTCGTAGCTGGTATTGGTGACTACCTTCTACTACCCATTCTGTATTCCTTTTGCCTTCAGCAAGCACCTCAGCAGATTGTGGCTTTTCTCCTGGTGAAGTCACCCAAATCTTCATTCCCGAGGGGTCTGGACCATTTGTAGTCCTGCCTGGCTTGGGCTGTTGTAGTTTCCCATTGACTTTAATCACAGGGGATGGTAATACTAAGAGGCACCGATCTCCTGTATTCCATGCATACTCTTCCTTACCTCTCTTATGGAGTAATAGACTGATTTCATCTTGATAGTCCGGGTCAATCACCCCAGCCAACACTGTAAGTCCCTTCTTAGCCTATTGACTTAAAGGTAGAAGGAGCCCAAAGTGTCCAGGTGGCAATCTTAACTTCCAGTTTAATGGATCGTTGTTGTGTCTCCTGGTGGCAGCATTCCTCCCTCTGGTACTAAGAACTTTAGGCCAGCAGAACGTAATGTCGCCGGAACAGGAAGCAAAAATTTTGCTAGTGGATCACTAGGGGTGATGGTGAGTGGTGCCACTTCCACTTCCATCCCTTGATTCCTGGACCCATGAATCCTGGCTATGGGAGAAACAGTACCATATATTGGATACTGATTCAGAGCATACACAGACTTCTGGAGAACTTTGCCCCAGACCTGCAAAGTATTGTCACCTAGTTAGTGTTGTAATTGTGACTTCAAAAGGTCATTCCACCTTCTATCAATCCATCTGCTTCAGGAAGATGGGCAACATGGTAAGACCAGTGAATTCCATGAGCATGAGCCCACTGCCACACTCCTTTAGCTGTAAAGTGAGTGCCTTGGTCAGAGGCAGTGATGGGTGGAATACCATGACAGTGGAAAGGCATTCCATGAGTCCACGGATGGTAGTCTTGGCAGAAGCATTACGTGAAGGATAGGCAAACCCATATCCAGAGTAAATGTCTATTCCAGTGAGGACAAACCTGTGCCCTTTCCATGATGGAAGGGGTCAATATAATCAACCTGCCACCAGGTAGCTGGCTGATCACTCTGAGAAATGGTGTCATATCTAGGGTTCAGTGTTGGTCTCTGCTGCTGGCAAATTTGGGACTCAGCAGTGGCCATAGAAAGGTCAGCCTTGGTGAGTGGAAGTCCATGTTGCTGAGCCCCTGAGTAACCTCCATCCCTGTCACCGTGGCCACTTTGTTCATGATGACAGGGGAGGCTGGGGAAAGAGGCTGAGTGGTGTCCACAGAACGGGTCATCCTATCCACTTGATTATTAAATTCCTCCTCCACTGAGGTCACCTGTTGGTGAGAACTCACATAGGATACAAATATCTTCACAGTTTTTGACCATTCAGAGAAGTCCCTCCACATACTTCTTCCCCAAATTTCTTTGTCACCAATTTTCCAATCATGCTTCTTCCAAGTCCCTGACCATCCAGCCAAACGGTTGGCTACAGCCCATGAATCAGTATATAATCCTACATCTGGCCATTTTTCCTTCCATGCAAAGTGCACAACCAGGTGCATTGCTAGAAGTTCTGCCCACTGGGAAGATTTTTCCTTCACCACTGTCCTTCAGGGACGTCCTAGAAAGGGGCTGTAGTGCTGCCGCTGTTCACTTTTGGGTGGTGCCTGCATATTCTGCAGAACCATCTGTGAACCAGACCCTAGTCTTTTCTTCCTCTGTCAACTGATCATAGGAAACTCCCCATGAGGCCATCGATGCAGGCTGGAGGAGGGAAGGCAGGGTGGCAGGAGTGGAGACCATGGGCATTTGAGCCACTTCCTCGTGCCTTCAGGACCTGCTCAAATCCAATCACATATATACCACTTCAATTTGATGATGGAATACTGCTGTACACGACCTGCTCTATGGCTAGATGGGTCAGAAAGCACCCAGTTCTTGATAGGCAGTTCAGGTCGCATGGTGACTTGATGACTCATAGTCAAACATTCAGTTTCCACCAAAGCCCTGTAACAGGCCAAGAGCTGTCTCTCAAAAGGAGAGTAGTCATCTGCAGAAGATGGCAGGGCCTTGTTCCTAGAGGCCTCTGCTGTGATTCACCCATGGGAGCCTGCCAAAGGCTCCAAACAGCATCCCTGTCTGCCACTGACATCTCAAGCACCATTGGATCTGCTGGGTCATGTGGCCCAAGTGGCACAGTAGCTCGCACAGCAGCTTGGACCTGTTGCAGAGCCTTCTCCTGTTCTAGACCCCACTAAAAACTGGCAGCCTTTTGGGTCACTCGATAAATGGGCCAGACTAACACACCCAAATGAGGAATGTGTTGCCTCCAAAATCCAAATACACCTGCTAGGACCTGTGCCTCTTTCTTGGTTGGGGAGTGTGGGGGGGTGGAAATGCAGCAACTTATCCTTCACCTTAGAAGGAATATCTCCACAGGCCCCACACCACTGGACCCCTAGAAATTTGACTGAAGTAGAAGGTCCCTGAATTTTAGTTGGATTTATTTCACATCCTCTGGCATGCAAATGTTTCATCAATAAGTCCAGTGTGTTTGTTACTTCTTGCTCACTGGATCCAATCAGCATAATGCCATCAATGTAATGGACATGTGTGATATCTTGCGGAAGCAAAAAGCAATCAAGGTCTCTCCAAATAAGATTCTGACACAAAGCCTGAGAATTGATATACCCCGAGGTAGGACAGTAAAGGTATATTGCTGGCCTTGCCAGCTGAAGCAAATTGTTTCTGGTGAGCCTTACGGACAGGAATGGAGAAAAAGGCATTTGCCAAGTCAATGGCTGCATACCAGGTACCAGGAGATGTGTTAATTTGTTCAAGCAATGAAACCACATCTGGTACAGCAGCTGCAATTGGAGTCACCACGTGGTTAAGCTTGCGATAATCCACTGTCATTCTCCAAGATTCATCTATCTTCTGCAAATGCCAAATGGGAGATTTGAATGGGGATGTGGTGGGAATCACCACTCCTGAATCTTTCAAGTCCTTGATGGTGGCACTAATCTCTGCAATCCCTCCGGGGATGCGACATTGTTTTTGATTTACTAATTTTCTAGGTTAAGGCAGCTCTAATGGCTTACATTTGGCCTTTCCCACCATAAGAGCCCTCACCTTACCAGTCAGGGAGCCAATGTGAGGGTTCTGCCAGCTGCTAAGTATGTCTATGCCAATTATGCATTCTGGCACTGGCGAAATGACCAAAGGATGAGTCCGGGGACCCACTGGACCCACTGTCAGAGTTGAGCTTTATAAAACTCCATTAATTACCTGATCTCCATAAGCTCCTACTTTTAACTGGAGGACCACAATGACGTTTTGGGCCCCCTGGAATCAACATCAGCTCAGAGCCAGTGTCCAGTAGTCCCAGAAATGTCTGATCATTTCCTTTTCCCCAGTGCACAGTTACCCTGGTAAAAAGCCAGAGGTCTCCTTGGGGAAGGATGGGAGAAAGACTCACTGCATAAATTGTTGGTATGTAGTGGGGTCCTTCCTCAAGGGGGCCTGGCCTCCCCTTCATTCAAGGGGTTCTAGGTCTGTAAACTGGCTCAAGTCTGGAAATTGATTGAGGGGCCGTGATTCTCTGTTTTTATAATTCAAATTAGTCTTTTATCCATTCGATCTAGAAGTTTTCTCCTTGTATAAATTAACTAGAAATGCAGTAGGCTTCCTATCAATTTCACTACTAGGAACACCGTAATTAGCCAATGCCACAGCTCTACATGAGTCAGACTATTCTGATTGTTGCTTTGTCTCTGCTGTCCATTACGGATCCCTGCCACCTCGAGATCCAATTATTCTCATCGTATTTAAATTTTGTAGTTGAGTAACTGCGGTTCCCAGTGTCAGATCTGACATACAGAGAAGAGCAATTACAGGGGTCTTCAAAGATGCAGGTGCTGCCCTCACAAATCTATTTCGCAAGGCATTGGTCAAGGGTGTATCTTCTGGACCCTCCCAGCTGGGATGAGTAGGTCTAAAGTGGCTAATCCACTCTACCATCCCACACTCTCTAAGCCTTTGGATCCCTTCCTCTACATTAAACCAAGGGAGATCAGGCATTTCCAACTTGCTCACAGTGGGCCATCTTTTAATTCATATTTCAGCTAACCAAGCAAACAAACTACTAGAACCTTTTTTAACTCCCCAAGCTGCAACATTAAAATCAGAGTCCCTACTTAGTGGGCCCAAATCAATAAATTCAGCCTGATCCAACTCTATGTTCCTTCCACCATTTTCCCATACCTTTAATATCCATTCCCATGCCTGTTCTCCAGATTTCTGTTTATATAAATTAAAGAACTCAAAACAGTTCGAGTGTAGCACACCTCCTCATGGGTCACACTCTCAACCTCACCTCTAGGGGCCCGCTGGGACTTTATTCTAGTTATAGGTCTAGAAGCAAACAGGGGTATTGGGGGTGGCTCCAGAGGAGAATCAACATTATTTTGCCTGGCAACTGCCTCAAGGGAGGCCATCACTGTTTGCCTCAAGCAGTGCAGGACTTATTTCCTCAGTCAAAGGTGGAAACACTGATGGCAGCCTGGGTCAGCGAGGAGATGTTGCCGCTACTGGGGATGGGGAAGCTATTCCTTGTAGCAAAAAAGGTTCCTCAGGGTTTACAAACTCAGTGTTCCCAGCTTCATCAAGGTCCTCCCACACATCTCCATTCCAAGTTGCAGGATCCCATTCTTTTCCAATTAATGCCTCACTTTAACAGTAGACACCTGGCAAAGCTGTGCATGCACTTTTCATTGCAGGTCAGCCAGTCACATGATAAAAGCTTGTGTTTGTTTTTCCACAATTTCAGCTCTATCTCCACAGGAGAAAGACTCTGACTCAGTGCAATCTTAGCAGATTTGAGGCTCAGTATCTGCTTCTGAAGCCAGGAGACACAGTCCCTGAGTTCATCATTTTCTTTCATTACTTTGTCCACTGAACTTAGGAGTAATCAACCAGCTTCATTATGTTCCTTGGTTCTCCACATATGGTCAAAGGTATTATGTATAGAGTCACTAAACTCCTTGCCTCTCATGAGTGGTGAATCAGGAGTGTCAAATGCATTTATTTTGCATAACTCTTTAAACAGTTCAGGCCACAAGGACTATCAGTGTTCTCCATACTATTGGAAGTAGAGTCCTTAGCATTTTTGGGTTTAATCATATTAAGCAGCCAACCCCAGAAACCCCAAAACCAATGAAAGAACTCCATCCTTAATATTCTATTCCTCTAGAACCATTCCTGGTACCAAAATCTGTATTAGTCACAGTTCTCTAGAGGGACAGAACTAATAGAATATACATATATTTCTATTAAGAACTAATAGAAATATATATATATATATATTAGGGAGTTTATTAAGTATTAACTTACATGAACACAGGGTCCCACAATAGGCTGTCTGCAAGCTTGAGGAGCAAGTCCAAGTCTCAAAACTTTAGAACCTGGAGTCTGATGTACCAGGGTGGGAAGCATCCAGCATGGGAGAAAGATGTAGGCTGGGAGGCTAGGCCAGTCTCACCTTTTCCTGGGAGGCTAGGCCAGCCAGTCTTGTGCGTTTCTCTGCCTGCTTTATATTTGCTGGTGGCTGATTAGATGGTGCCCACCAGATTAAGGGTGGGTGTGCCTACCCCAGCCCACTGATTTAAATGTTAATCTCCTTTGGCAACACCCTCACAGACACACCCTGCATCAATACTTTGCATCCTTCAATCCAATCAAGTTGACACTCAGTATTAACCATCACATCACAGGTGAAGGACACACTCTCCACGAGACTGCCCTCACTTCAGAGAGCAGTTGCAAGCTTTGGGGTTCCCAGGCCATTCACTCTTCTGATAAATTGACTGCAAATTCAAGGGTTCTCATTATCCTTTCAGGTTCAACAATTCATGAGAATGCCTTACAAAACTCATGAAAGCATTGTACTTTCAATTTCATTATAAAGAATACAAATCAGGACCAGCCGAAAGAAGAGATCCATAGGGCAAGGTCTGGGAGGCTTGCAAACACTAAGTTTTTGTGTCCTGAGGACCATCACTGTCCTGGAACACCCATGTGTGTCATGAACCAGGGAAGCTCTTCTAACCTCAGTGTACAGTTTCTATTGGAGTTTCACCATGTAGCCCATAGGACTAACTGATTAAATCATTGTTCATGTGACTAAACTTAATCTTCAGCTTCCCTTCCATCCCTGAATGTTGGGCAGATATGACATGGCTCAAAGCCCCAACCCCACGGTCACATCCTTAGACTTCTCAGCATGGCCAGCCCCAACCCTGAAACTATCTAGGGACCAACCATGAATAACCACATTCCTATCAATTGGAAAATTCCAAGGACTTATAGGATCCCTCCCAAGAACCAGGGACAATGGTCAGCCAAACTCCTTGTTATGCAACATGGTTGTACTGAGAATTCTGGCTTGGCTGGCTTACTTCTAGGCCAATCTTAACATAGTGATCCACAGAAGCTGGCCAGTTAGATCTACTGGTTGTTGTTGTTGTTGTTGTTGCACTGAATATTATGCCATAAAATAAAACACAATATGGCAGAATTTAGAACATCATTTCTCCAGAATATTTTTGTTCTACTGGTGCTTGTTCTTTGATTAGTCTTGCATGACAGGTATTTAGTGAGTACCTACTGACAGGCACCTAATGTAAATACAGCTGAAGAAACAGTTTCTAGCTACATACTGCTTAAAACAAACACATCTACCTATATTTAACTAATGTCTCAATCAAATATCTCACAAATTCTTTACTTAGAAACCCTTCCTCATGCATTGTCTTAGTTTGGGCTGCTCAGGCTGATACAAGAAAGCACCATGGGCTGGGGGTCTAAGACAACAGAAACTTATTTCTCAGTTCCTGGAGACTGGAAGTCCAAGATCAGGGTGCCATCATGGTTATGTTCAGGTGAGGGCTCTCTTCGGGGTTGCAGACTACTGACTTCTTGTATCATCACATGGTGTAAAGAGGGCAAGAGAGCTCTCTGGGGTCTATTTTATAAAGGCGCTAATCCCATTCATAAGGCCTCCATTCTCAGTATACTTTCAAATGTTGATTTCTTTACTACAGAAATCATTCCACATTTCAGACTATTCATTACAAATAAGTGAGGTAAAGTTTACTTCCATCTAATGGCAAATGACAAAAGAAATGGAGTTTAAAGGGTATGACTGGCAACTAGTGATTTTTAAACAGTGCTGAATTGTTTAAAATTGGAGGGTGGAATGATGTTGGTAATAGGGAGACAGAGGTAAAATATTAGGAAAGTGTAGAGGCAAAATAAGGCTTTGATAAGTCAAATTTATATTTTATCAAAGATTTGAGAAAGTTGACAAGTTTTTCTTTCAAGTACAAATCCTTTTCTTCTTAAAAGTTTAAGGCAGCATAATGAAGTATGCATTAAGATCCCGTCTATCTTAAGCCAGGAAAAATTTTAAATGATTACCACTTGGGAAAAAACAATGGCTGTATTTCAGCAAATGGGCAAATGAAAACCAGTCCGAATTCCTCATGCTGGACCCCTCCATGATACAGGCTCTGTTGTACCTGCATATGCACATAACAGATTAAATAGCCATCAGAATACAATGGAATTTTAAGAATGAGATTAACTATTCCAAGTATATTATACTCACAAAATATAAACAGTGTCCCCAAGAGCACTAAGCTTTTTAAACCAGTATTATTTATATTGAAAACGAAGAATAACAGTATTTTTAAAAAATACAATAGAAGCAATTCTAAAAATCACTGCTAAAAATAAGTGCCCAAATCTTTGAATTTAGACTCAAAACTATGCATGCAACATTCCTATGGTCTGAATGTTTGTGTCCCCCTGAGATTCATTTGTTGAAATCCTAACTCCCAAAGTGATTGTATTAAGTGGTGGGGCCTTTTGGGAGGTGATAAGGTCATGAGGGCAGAGTCCTTGAAAATGGGATTAGCACCCAAGGGAGCTTGTTTGGCCCTTCATCATATAAGGACATAATGAGAAGGCTCCTTCTGTGAACCAGAAAGCAGGCTCTCACCAAATCTGCCAGCACCTCCATCTTGGACTTCCAGACATCAGAACTGTGGGAAATAAATTTCCATTGTTTATGAGCTACCCACTTATGGTATTTTATATAGCAGCCTGAATGTGCTAAGGCGGAAAATATTGTCCAAATTTGCTAACTCTACTTGTGTTTCTTAAATTTATCCTATTTTGTCCTCAAACTTCCAAATTAAATCTTACTTTTATGGAAAAAACTAGGATAATTTTATAATTATTTTATTATAATTTTGAGACATCAATTACTTTTTCTTCAATTAAAAAAAATCCAATCATGATTCCTTTGGGATTACTTGGGCAAACTGTAGCAAATTTTTCTTACTACACATACTTACATGATGCAGAATGATGTCTGTTTTTACTACCTTGCCTATATTCTACATAAAACTTAAAGCATGTCTTCTCTAAATCAGTGGTCCCCAACCCTTTTGGCAGTAGGGACTAGTTTCGTGGAAGACAATTTTTCCATGGACTGGGACAGGGGATGGTTTCAGGATAAAACTATGAAACTGTTCCACTTCAGATCATCAGGCATTAGATTCTCAAAAGGAGTGTACAACCCAAACCCCTTGCATATGCGGTTCATAACAGGGTTCCCGCTGCTATGAGAATCTAACGCTGCTGCTGATCTGACAGGAAGTGGAGCTCAGATGGTAATGCTCACTTGTCAGCCTCTCACCTCTTGTTGCGTGGTCTGGTTCCTAACAGGCCACGGACTGGTACCAGTCCACGGCCTGGGTGGTTGGGAGCTCCTGCTCTAAAGAATAATTTTAAATCAGAGAAAACTCAAGTTTTAAAGTTCATGTTAAGCCTTACTCCAACTTCCATTTCTCTCTTTATAACAAAATTCTATTAACACATCTTGAAAAAAGATCACAGAATAATTTTATTTATAATGAATGTTATTCTCTCCAGACTTCAACTCATCAGTTTACTCTTATAACAGAGAATCAATTTAAATAACACCATCAAAATGGAATGAATATAAAACAATCTGCTATTACGTATCGATTTCTTTGATAGGATATAATTATAGCCAATTAGTCTTGCAACACATGGTCCATTTCCAGTGAAATTCTCAATAAACTGCTAGGAATTACAGTCCTTCATATTGACATTTTATTGTAAAGTCTGCTAGACGTGGCTCTCTTGATTGCTTTGGAAGTCAGTCAAACAAATGCTCTGAAGAAAAGGCTGACACCGCAAAACAACTTCATATGAAATCTGTCCACAAATGGGATAGCAATGCCTCCAGATCCTTTGGTTTTTATCAGTCCCTTTGGAAAGTTAATTAATTGATGATTGTTCCCTTAAAATTCTATTTTAAATAGGACAATCACTGTCTATACAGTCTGTGCCAGCGTCCTTGACTTTCTTGCTTCCACTGATTTGTTTATCAAATCATACAGTGATGGTAGTCTTATTTTATCCATATTTTTGCTGTAAACATTAAGAAATATACCAAGGACAACTAACAAACCAGACCATACATACCTAAGAGAAAGAAATAAGGAAAAAAAATTAAAATTAGCAAAATAACAATTTACTATTAACCACAGAATTTGTTAATATGTCCATAATAATTCTTCAGTGAAGTAAAATTCTATTAGAAGCCTACAATAATAGCATTAAAATAAAAATAGTATTCTTAGATGAGATTTGATAGAATTCTGTATCTTTTAATAATGCATTGAGTAGATATAAAGAAAGATATTTTACAAAATTTTATATGACATAGTTCATTTGAACTTTGGGGATAACAGTATATTCAAAGTACAGTCCCCTACCAAAAGTCGTAAAAGTACACTTAAAGCTTTGGACATGTATATCTACCAAAGGCCATTTTGGTAATTAAACTCAGCTGTCCAACTCGTTGTCTCAGTTGGGTAGAATATAAAGGAATAAAAAGAGAAACATCCCTGAGAAAGTAGGGGAATCATTATAATTATATTTATGTATGACATAACACTATTATGTATTATACCTAGTACATACAGAAAGAAAAACTAGTTTATAGACAAATAATAATCTGTAATATATTGATGGAAATTAATTTTATGTTTCCCTCCAAACTTATAGATTGTTAAGTTCTGGGTTTGAAACTTCACAATCCTGACCAATATAAGTTTAAATGGTGCTAATGTCAAACAAATAGTAAAGACAGTAAATATGATAGTAAACACTTTCACACACACAAAAAATAAAAGCTTAGTTTAAAGTCTTTAGGATGTAACTTACAGAATATTTCTCTACCTTAAATCCTTTGTGGAAACAGGCATCAAATAAACTAGTATTTTTTTAAAGCATGTGATGTAAATACATAATTTACATATTTGCAGTAGGGCAAAGGGGAATCCCTTAATCTCAACAACGTACACATCACTCATATTCACTCATAATGGAAACAGGTCACATTTGCACTGGACTCTGGTTAGGCAATTTAAGTATACAAAATGATAAATTCAAAATAATAAATTACCAACATTTCCAAAATAGCAGAAGACACACTGATAGTTAAGAGATCAAGATGAAAAGGTTTCTTTATAAAGCATAACAGGAAAAAAAACCACATTAATTTATATAAAAATAAATACACTTACTACAAAAAAGAAAAAGTAGAAAAGTTGAAATTAAGATTAAGAGGAAATGTGAAACACAGTATCTAAAAACTGAGAAAAATTGTTTAATTAAGAAGTACTTACTGAAACGTGAATGGTTTAGCAAAGAATATAAACGAAAGTACAATGGTCATTGCTTTTCTTCCTGTTGTCACTGTAGGAGCAAAAAATTAGTTTAGAATGTGCCTATTATCTTGACAATATTTTAGAAATCACTTATTCAGCAAATATTTAGACCTGACTATATGCCAGAATCTGTTGAGGTGCCAAGGTGACAATGGAAAGTAGAAACCAACCAACCAAACACACGCACAAAAGTCACTGTTCCCTGTTACTATGGAGTTTAGTCTTGTAGGGAAACAGACATTAAATAATTAATACAGTTAAATGTTAAAGTACAACTGTAGTAAGTACTTGATGGAGGCTATGGTATTACGAAGCCACAGTTTAAGTCTTAGAGAAAGGCTTTCCTATGGAAGCTATGATTAGCTAGAGGCAGGGGTTATTCTTTAGAAACAGTAATCTAAAGGATATACTCATATCTTAATAGGGGTCATCTCTGGATAAGACTATAAGTAACCATTACAATCTTCTTTACGCAACTGTATTAACTTTTCCCTGTCCTTTGAAGTACTACACTTTGAAGTCTGCTGTAACGCTGGAAGCCTTCCTCCCTTCTGTCCCAGGCAGAGTGGGGAGATCTGCATAGATCTCCATGACAGTACTTTCCTCCTCACTGCACTATCGGTTGCCATCTTCCCACTTGACTATGTGCTTTACTTAGTTTCTTGCCTTATTCATCTGTATATTCCAAGACTCTACAGTTCCTGGCACTTAGTAATTTATGCATGAATGAATGAATTCCAAAGGAAGAAGCTGTTCTGGAAACGTGCCAGAGTCAGATTCCAAATGTCTGTTTTTTTCTTTCTATAGTAAAAGGACCCCTATTTTGAGTTGGGTATATGTTCCCTCTTCTCCTGCTACTAGGTGTGGTCATGTGTCTAGGCTATGGTGAAATGTGAGCAGAAGTGCTGTTTCTCGGAGTATGGCTTTTAGGATTTTCATCTTCTCTTACTCCATCCCACTGCATAGCATGAGGATGAAGATGGCACAGTGGACAGAAAGAACATGGGTTTCTCATGACCATGGAGTCACCATACCAGCTTAGAGGCAGTATAATGTATGGTGAAGAGCACAGGTGTGCAGCCAGACTGCCATCACTGGAACCTGGCTCTGGTTGACTATGAGACAAGTCACTTAACCTCCCCGTGCCTCAGTTTATCCATCTGTAAAATGGAATAATCATAGTGCCTAATTTATAGGACTGCTGTGAGATTAAAATAATGGTGTCTGGTACATACTAGGGCTATGTATGCATTAGCTATGATTATTGCCAGCTCTGGCTTTCTTTTACGTGAGAGAGGAAAACTCCTGCCTGTACCTCTAAGGCAAAAGCTGTGCCTTAGAGTTTTGGCAGATGACACAGGTGGCACATTGACTCATCTGTTCCCCTCACTAGGCTATACACTCCTCCAAAGCAGAACAAATACAACTGATTTTTCTACAGGGCCAAGCAAAGACCCTGCACACAGCAGGTGCATAGTGCTTATTGGTGAAAAGGGAAGCTAATCTGGTTGATGTCCTAGAAAATGTACAAATGAAAGGCCTAAAAAGCTTATTTAAAGTGTACCTCTCATACTTGAAATGCAACAAAACTGAAAGTTTCAGTTACAGGTTAAAAGCATATAAAGGCAGTACTTTCTTTGGAGGTCGTCATCTCATCATAATTTTATAGAAAGTTCTTTTAATGCGTTTAAGGGTTACTGTTCTGATAAATGTATATGTTTGATTTTAAAATTAAACCATCAAAATAAGAAATTAAGATCAAACAACA
Organism: Homo sapiens; assembly: GCF_000001405.40. Taxonomy (NCBI): domain Eukaryota; kingdom Metazoa; phylum Chordata; class Mammalia; order Primates; family Hominidae; genus Homo; species Homo sapiens. Next base: position 8,416,718 of record NC_000006.12, read on the forward strand.
TTTTCTTTAGAATTCTAAAGAAACACCATAAGCCAAAGAATAAATTGGTGAAATATGATAATTTTCTTTTTAATATAAAGGAGATGTTGCCCTTATGTTTTGAAAAAGAGCATCAGAGAAAATGTAAATGCTTATTTTATAATCAAAGCAAGTAAATCCCTCCTACCTGTTACAGCAATAAGTGCACCAAAAATTTTAATCAAAGCCAGAACAAAGGAGATTCCAAAATATCCAGTGAGGGAAAAAAGGAACGCATAACCATAGGTCCGAACTGGATTCTGCAAAAAATAAAAAAGCCTGTTAGAAAAATGTAAAACAAACTCCGAGGTATTACAAATAAAATAAAACTACAGATGTTAATCAACTTCTTGAGCAATAAGTTGTTTGACAATGCAGTCAAGCAAAGATTCTTATTTTGATTTAATGAAAAAAAAATGTTGAAATTAAAGATCCTCAACTTTCCTACATTATGAACAGCTTAAAAATCAACTCATAGGGTACAGCAAGGATAAAATAAATTTAAATATCAGTCATTTCATTTCTGAAATTAATTTCCGATTGGCATGTTATGTTAAAGGAGGTATCATTATATCTATGATAGCCTCTTTTGAACAAGGGAAATGAGAAATTTAGAGAAAATTATTTAACAGAAGATTTTTTTTTTTAAATGTGATTAGTGTTTACCTTTGCACAAAATGTTACTGCAGGGCCTAATCCACTAGTGCATGTCAATCCCAGTAAAATGTATACAAAACCAATTGAATACGAATACAATACCTAGAGCAGATAAAAATAAAGCAGAAAAAAGTACTATGAAACTGAAAATGGAAGATTAAGGGTTTTAACTCTATGGCTCAATTAGGTTTGCAGAACAAACATTTTAAAAGAAACATTATAATTTCAATATGGCCTAAATTTCCAGAAATGTTATTTGATTCTAATGTTTTATAAGTCTATGCCTCATTTTATGTACAAAATAACACCTAGTAATATTAATCCTTTCATATATGCTTACATATTCATTTCTTTCTAGGCTTAATTATTGAAATCAACCAGATTTTCATATTAGAGTTCTAAAAAAAATAAATGAAACAAAACAAAAAGCTTTAAAGATACTTATAAAACATAAAAAAATTAAGTTTCTAAAATACATTAAAATATAATGAAAATAAGCAGCATATGGCATATCTACTGCTTAACTTCTCTATTTTCCAACCAACCTTTTAATCCCAATTTACTATGCTTTTCATAAACAGAATCAGCAGCAGCAGCAGCAGCAGCAAACCTAAATATCTGCTGTGTGTCAGGTACTGTGTTGAAGCTCGGTACGGATTATTCCATTTACTTCTCACAACCACCCTAGATATGGGTATTCTTAGTTATCATAATCCAATTTCCAGATGAAGAAACTATAACTTAGAGATATTAAGTAATTTTCCCCAAATGAGTGCTAGTAAAGCCAGGATATGAACTGAGCTATCTTATTCCAGAGCCTACCATCATAAACACTGCATTATATTAACTTTCTAACAACCTACACTCCCTCAATTCTCTCTGTGCCCATCCTTACCTTATCTACAATGAGTAGTGATTATGATGAAGAAAATTCTTAACCAAGTTCCTGTGTTATTAGAGACTACCTAAGTTGCCCCATTCTGTGTCAAGAAAATAACAGGAAAGAATAGTCCTGTCTATCCTTAATTCAGTATGCTCTTTCTGTCCAGCAAGGTGGTTGGTTATAAAATTAATGTAAACACACACACACACACACACATACACACACATAATTTTCCTATATAAAAACCAGTTACAAGATATACAAAAAGACACTACTTGCAAAAAAAAAAAACAGTTACAAGAGATACAGAAAGATATTATTTGCAATAACCACAAAAAGATGAAATAACTTTAATAAGTTATTATTAACAATACCTTTAATAAGAAATGTGCTGGATTTACATGAAGAAAACTTTAAACTCTAATGGACATTGAAAAAAAGACCACTTGAGTAAAAGAAAAGTCATACCTTATTCTTGGACTGAAATAATCAAGATGCCATTCTCCCTAAATTAATTTATAATTCAATGCCATACCAATCACAATACCAATGGGATTTTTAGTTTATTTGGGAATATAAACACCCCAGAATAACTACTGGTAGTAATATTCTGCAAAAGAAAAGGAACAATGGTAGCTAGTCCTAACAGATAATAAATGTCTGATAAAGCTGCTGTCATTATATGTACTATTGCAAAAATAAATTCAAATACAATTCTGAATGCCACACAAGAGTGTGATATGATAAAGAGGGCATTTAAAATGAGCTGAAAGTGGATTATTCAATAAATGATATTAGAAAAAATGGTAGTCATTTGAAAGAAAAGTTCTTTTAAAAAAGTTTTAGATTGGATCAAGGGCTTAATAAAAAAGGAAATCACAAAACTAGTAGGCAACAGGGATGAAATGTTCTAAATCTCAGGGTTAGGAAAGCTCTTTTCAACCATGATACTTAGCCAGAAGCCAGCAAGGAAAAGACAAATTGGGCCATATAAAAATTACAAACTTCTACATGGAAAAATACTACCCACTAGAAAGAGATGAGAGAAAGGATATAACAAAAGATTTTATTTTAATACATAAAAAACTAAATCAATGAGGAAAAAATTTGTCAACTATGCAACAAGCGGTTAGCACTGCTAGTTGTAGTTTTAGTTTTTACCTTCCTATAATGTTTGAATGTATTACTTTTGTAAAAATGAGTTTAAAAATGCAATGCTAGTTATAATAATTATTTCATCAAATTACGTGTATCACCATTTTTTAAATCTGTCTAATTTGAAGAAAAAACACTAGAGTATTTACCATTTCAGAATTAGAAGCATTATGAAGTTTCATAGCTTTCTCTTGAACATTTCCAATGACGGCATCTGCACATAGTGCCAGGGAAATAAGCACCACACCTTCAAGAAGGTATTAAAAAAACAAACAAAAAAACCCTCCTTATTTAAACATATGAACTATAATCAAGCTTTATCAGAAATTTCATTGGTCTAAAAAACAAAAGCAGATCTTCAACTACATTTGTTCGGTAATCCAGAATATTCTTATTCACAATCGGTTGTAACAAGTACATATGTGATGATATTAAAAAAGATATACTAATAAACTGAGTTAGTTCTGTACATATCACATTTCACATTTCAATAGCGTATTAAATAACAGTTCCATAAATATTCTACTAGTCTAATAGTTCCACTAGTTCTGAAAGTGTAGAAGAAACTCTTAGGATATCTATCTATTGGGATTGGTGGCTATTCAGTTAATTAAAAAAAAAAAAAACAGATGAAGAGAAAAGTCATTTTTGAAAAACCCTATTATTACTAAAATGTTTAATTTAAATCACATAAACAGGCACGCTGCTGTCAGGGCCTTTTTCTTTGAGCATGGGTCCTGAATAGAATTCCATATTTTCTCCTTTGTATAAACACACTCAGCACACATTTTCCATGATTTCCAAGGTGTTTTTGTTTAAAAGTGCCCTGCAGAGTACAGAATCCTTTCATATGTTTATGAGCTTCCCTCCAATATTCACAGTGGTTTTACCCACACCTCATTCAATAGTGATTTTATTGCTTGTCAATCAAGTTGTGTCAGTTAACTCAGTTTTCACAAAAACAATTATTTGTTCATATTCATTTTTGAATAACGTAATACTGAGTTACGACATAATTATAATAAAGGTACAACTGACATAAACAAATCTGAGTCAACACTTCATTCCTGAGAAGCATCAAAATGCATGCACACTAAAAAACAAACAAATTGTTTTATCTACAGAGCTGTGATATTTTCACTACATCTTATATGGAAAGTCCAAAAGCTTTATGTTAGATATGAAAATTGCAGCTGTCACACTATCATTTAAAATGCTTACAAAATATTCGAAATTCGTATTCTAAACTAAAAAGCCTATAAAAGCTAGGAATATAAATAAATTACTTACCCGTCAGGTTGAAATTTGGTGCAGTTGTGCTGTCAGCGAGGGTAAACCATATCAGGCCAAGGCTCATACATATGGCAGCAGACACATCTGCAACATTATAACGCTTTCCTGTATAAAACAAACGTAAGTCCACTTCATTATGCAAATACCCACCCAGCTTTATATTTGCTCTATGTGTTAAGTAGAACATGGATTTGTTTTTTTATATCCAATGCCAAAAACGTGAACACTTAGGTCAAGGCAGAAGACAGTCACAAGAGGGCTTCTGAAAACTACCAATGGGCAGCAATATGTCCCTGTAAGTTAGAAACGAGAGCTACTTTATCTGGTATAATAGTGACACTAAAATACATACTTTGGCAAAAACTGACAGCAAGAATAATGCACATCCACAAACATTTAAAAAATTTCCTGGAAATTTAGTTCCTGTTTTACTTTGTGCATAATAAAAGGTTATGAATTTTCTCGTAGTTTGTAAATTTACGAAGTAACCAGATTAATGAGTCTGGTTACATAACTGTTTAAGTTTGCAAATATCATAATGTGATAACTTCCAGGCAGGTGAAAATTAAATTATTTTCATATATCATTATTTTAAAAATAAAATGTAGTATGACTTTTTTGTAAGGTTTATAACGACAATATTATATATGCCTAGTCAGTTGGGACAATAAATGTGATTTTTAATAGGGATTGAGGTCAATTATTTTTTCCTATATGAAGTTATCCTGAAATGATACGTGAAGTAGTTGACAACACTTTCATTTTTAAAGGCTTATTCTGGGATGGTATCTAATGCATAAATGATATCAGGCTGTATAAGAACTTCAGTGATACAGAAACACCCGACTATTAAAACACGAATATTCCTCGTGACAATTAATGTGAACAACAGAAGCTACTTCCACTGTTTGTTGCTATCACTGCCTCCTCTTTTACTCGTATTTCCACAAAACTTGTCACTTAGCTGGGGCTCTAAACATCACTAAAGCCAGCAGGTTGGTAAAAACGCAGTTCTGCTCAGATTAAACTTTACTTCAATATGAGAACTGCCCATGCACAATGGAAGTGAAGGGTAGACCCCTGGAGAGTAGAAGAATGAAGGAACTGAAAAAAGGGACCTTTCCACGTACTTTTGAACTAGACCTTTAATACGTAAATATAGTATTGCTGGAAATGTGGTAGATTCCAAAATAAAATAATAAAAACAAAGTATTATCTTTTCTTTTTCTTAAGTCCAAATTACTGACTTCAGAAACTAAGGCATATAAGTGTTTGTTTGTTTGTTTGTTTGTTTGTTTTGAGATGGAGTCTCGCTCTGTCGCCCAGGCTGGAGTGCAGTGGTGTGACCTCGGCTCACTGCAACCTCTGCCTCCTGGGTTCAAGCAATTCGTCTGCCTCAGCCTCCCAAGTAGCTGAGACTACATGGATACACCACCATGCCTAGCTAATTTTTGTATTTTTAGTAGAGACAGGGTTTCACCATATTGGCCAGGCTGGTCTCGAACTCCTGACCTTGTGATCTGCCCACCTTGGCATCCCACAGTGCTGGGATTACAGGCGTGAGCCACTGTGCCTGGCCATCAGTGTTTTTAGAATACCTTATTTTGGTAAGACATAATTCAGAATTGTTACAATATCTAGAATGCTCATTGAAAATGTAATAGAAGTTTAATGTTTTTCCTAATGCTAGATGCCATAACATAGCCTATTAGTTTTAAATAGTATAAAAACATATCATTACTATACCTTGAATAAAAACTCCTCCTAGCATAACAGGAATCAATTTGCAGCACTTGAAGATGACTTGGGTAGGGTAATTCAGGTAGCCCAAGGAAGTGTTTGATAACCCCATAGTACCCACAGTTAGAAAAGCTATTATCATGTAGGTTTTTCCTGGTATTCTGTAAAAGACAATTTTTAAAACCTTCATTTTGGGACCCAATTCATACTACTAAAAGATAATGTGTTCACATTGTGTAAATGTCTAATTACTTTTCTAATTTCTGGTTACTATTTCTGGAAATATCAGTAAAAAATATCACTATTTAAAAACTGTAATGCTCTTGTATAAAAAAGTTTATAAAAATAACAATTTACCTTTATTTAGTCAATCATAAACGAGGCCACTCAATTATGTAAAAAAGAGTTTAGATTTTTACTGAAGGTATAAATGTTGACAAAAGGTTTTTTTTTTTTTTTTAACAGCAGTTCTAGCCACAAATAAAAACCATCTTAACCATCTTAAGTTAGAGAAAAAGAGCTTCTTTTGTTGTTGTTTGCTTGAGATAAGGTCTCGCTCTGTTGCCTAGGCTGGAGTGCAGTGGCATGATCTCAGCTAAGTGCAACCTCTGCCTCACGGGTTCAAGAAATTCTTTTGCCTCAGCCTCCTGAGTAGCTGGGACTACAGGTGTGCGCCACCATGCCCAGCTAATGTTGGCCTCCATAATGGTAAAAGGTACCTTAACATTTTAAAACTAATTTTTAACTCTTGAATTGTTGTTCTGTTTCCTAATGTTTCCATCTAGCATTAGGAAAAATACATCTATCCATTCTGCTAAAATAACCCAAGATTTTCTCTAGGAAAAGTTCATGTGATTTAAAACCCTAGATGTAATTTTTATTATAATATCTTATAGATCATCTCTCTATATTCTATGTTATAATAATCAACTTTTAAGATGAGGTATCTGACTCTCTCATGATTTCAAGTCTTTTAACTTTGGCTCTATCTAAAGTTCCTAAAGGAGATTCTTAATTTAGCATCTTCAGAATTTTGAGCCATTACTGTGAGCATATGCTCACTTTGACTAGATATTTAATGGTCTAAACTAATAATCTTGTCTACTGGTATGACGAACACAGACACAATCAGGCACTATTCATACTGATAATGCTGGAGAGTTAGATGTAATTTCCATTTTAGAATTTGTGTTCACATTGAAATCAAGGCAACAAAATTTCTCATCTTATATATGGTTAGATATAAGGTAAAATAATTTACTGGAAAAAGTCAATTAAAATGCATCATTTACATTCGATTCTGAGGGGTTTTTTTCTACTTAACTACTAATATAGTAGTTAACCATGAAAATCCACGTGGAAACAACTTGGCATGCCCATATGCATCAGTGTAAATGCGTTCATGCCATCCATGGGGTTTGACCCTCATTGGGATATCATCAGTGATGGTGGAGCACCACTTCGCCAGGTAAAATGATACAAGTCAAGGTGGTCAGATTTTCTCAAAGATAAATGGCAAATCATTGGCAGAAAATAAAAATTCAAGTCAGAAGAATTACAAGGAATGAGTAGAAAAGTAGCACAGTACAGGTAGAAAGAAAACCAGCCTGACAGGGGAACTAAATCCAAAAGTAGCTCCAAAAGGAGCTCAAAAAATTCTGAGCAGTCCTCTAGGTCTTTGTTTTCTCATTGGTATAATGAAGAAATTAGATTTGATCAGCTTGCCTCCAGGATACTCACTATTTCTATTTTATTTAATACATCAATTGCTTGCTTCCTTAGAAATGGGGAGAAAATTTTTTTTTTGAGACGGAGTCTCGCTCTTGTTGCCCAGGCTGGAGTGCAGTGGCGCCATCTTGGCTCACTGCAACCTCCGCCTCCCAGGTTCAAACCATTCTCCTGCCTCAGCCTCCTGACCTCCTGAGTAGCTAGGATTACAAGTGCCCGCCACCATGTCCAGCTAATTTTATATTTTTAGTAGAGACGGGGTTTCACCATGTTGGCCAGGCTGGTCTCGAACTCCTAACCTCAGGTGATCAACCTGCCTCGGCCTCCCAAAGTGCTAGGATTACAGGCGTGAGCCACTGCACCTGGCCGGGGAGAAAATTTTAACTTTAAAAACCTCTTCAAGACAAATCTGAGCACTCTCCTTAATTAGAAACTTATACTAATTAATAATAATGTTACAAGGTATTCTTTGATGAAAAATAATAAGCAGTATATTTAGGATATTACAGTTTATGATGTACTTTAGCACGCATTACCACATATGAGCCTCAAGATAAAATTTAGAGTATTATAGAAACTTCTCTGAGGTCTTGACAGATGTAATAAGACCCAAGTGCCAAGACCCAAACCCATGTTTCTAACTCCAAATTCTCAACGAGTATTGATGTACTTATTCCAGTATGTCGGTATTCACATAAATGTGGGAAGAAGAAAAAAATAACAACAGCAAAGAGTTTAGCTAATTAAAGGTCTAACGAGTAGCAGTACCATTAAATAAATTCAGATATGGGTGTATTTGCAGAAATAAATTCAGAAAGGTTTCAATTCATAATTACATTTATTATAAATACATAAATTATTCTCCCAAATTATTTCACTTATATTTAAATCAAGTACAAATTATTTTATTTTAAAATATGTTATGGTCACGTGATTTAAAAGTTGGGATAAACATGGCTTGAGGCCCCCTCCCCTCTCATCGGGGTAGCTGATAGGGAGGTGTTTCTTTCTGAAATGTAACAGAACATGCATCATCATTGTATCATTTTTCACCTACAAAGATAGTATTAGTGTCTTTTACCTTAGAAGCAATCTTACCTTAGAAGGCCCAGTAGTTTGTAATAAGTAGTAAATCATCATCAAGCTTCCTTATATATTAGTCTTGACAGATATATTTAATTACCTATTCTATCACCTATGGCTATTCCCAGTACTCCTCTAGGTCTTTGTTTTCTCATTGGTAAAATGAGGAAGTTGGATTTCATCAGCTTGCCTCCATGATTCTATCATGGAGAATCATGATAGAACATAAAAATAATGAAGATGATATTCTAAGGTTCAAATATTTTTACAATAATTGCTACAATAATTTATTGGCAATAAAGACAGGTTGAGAGGCAAAATTAGACCCATGAAGAAACCTGTAATATAGATTTAAATATGTAAAACTGTAGTTACCTTGATACAAACTTCAACACCATTTTATGATTAAAAAAAAAGCTGCACAATTTTTGAAATCTTCACTAAAGGATTAAACATTTGTATCAAGGTATGTCAGTATTACAGTCGTTATTACATTTAAACTGCCCAATAGATACACGATATATACACACATTAGGGTACGACAGAAGGAGCACGCTTCTTACATTAACCAAGAACATTTTATATTCAAATTCCTAACCACTTTCTGTTTATAATCAGAGACTAAGTTTTATTGCATATTGTTCTAGATGCCATTAAAGATATATCAAGATATTTCTCAAATCTAGATGGTTGCTACCTGAAATGATATTGTCAAACAAGCACATTTGGTCTTGATGAAAAGGAATGAGATTTGTTTCTCTAATGCTTAAGAACGCAACCTCAGCTATCGGACATCATATGGCAATGTTAGCTGGGGCATATCCCACAAAATATAACTTCACATTCTAAAAAAGCAGAATAACAATAGATACAGACTTGGTATCCCTCATCCAAAATGCTGGCGACCAGAGTGTTTCAAATTTCGATTTTTTTCAGGTTTTGGAATATTTGCATCTGCATAGTAAGGTATCTTGGGGAATGGGACACAGGTCTTAATATGAGATTTATTTATGTTTCATATATACATTATACACATAACCTGAAGGTAATTTTATAGAACATTTTTGATATGGTTTGGCGCTGTGTCACCACTCAAATCTCATCTGGAATTGTACTCCCATAATTTTCATCTGTTGTGGGAGGGACCCAGTGGGAGGTAATTTGAATCATGGGGGTGGTTTCCCCCATATTGTTCTCATGGTAGTGAATAAGTCTCACAAGATCTGATGGTTTTATCAGGGGTTTCCGCTTTTGCATCTTCCTCATTTTCTCTTGCCACCACCATGTAAGAAGTGACTTTTGACTCCTGCCATGATTCTGAGGCCTCCCAAGCCATGTGGAACTGTAAGTTCAATTAAACTTCTTTTTCTTCCCAGTCTCGGGTATGTCTTTATCAGCAGCATGAAAACGGACTAATAACAGTAAATTGGTACCAGGAGTGAGATGTTGCTGAAATGAGACCCAAAAATGTGGAAGCAACTTTGGAACTGGGTATCAGGCAGAGGCTGGAAGAGTTTGGAGGGCTCAGAAGAAGACAGGAAAATGTAGGACAGTTTGGAACCACCTAGAGACTTGTTGAATGGCTTTGGCAAAAAAGCTGATAGTGATATGAACAATAAGGTTCAGACTGAGGTGGTCTCAGATGGACATGAGGAACTTGTTGGGAACTAGAGCAAAGGTGACTCTTGTTATGTTTTAGCAAAGAGACTGGTGGCATTTTGCCCCTGCCCTAGAGATCTATGGAACTTTGAGATGATTTAGTGTATCTGGTGGAAGAAATTTCTAAGCAGCAAAGCCTTCAAAAGGTAATTGGGTGCTGTTGAAAGCATTCCATTTTAAAACGGAAACAGAGGAAAACGGTTCAGAAAATTTGCAACCTGACGATGCAGTAGAAAAGAAAAACCCATTTTTTGAGGAGAAATTCAAGCTGGGTGCAGAAATTTGCCTAACAAGGATCTGAATGTTAATCCCCAAGACAATGGGGAAAATGTCTCTAGAGCATGTCATGGGTCTTCATGGCAGCCACTCCCATCACAGGCCAGGAAGCCTAGGAGGAAAGAAAGGTTTTGTGGGCTGCACCCAAGGTCACTATGCTGTGTGCAGCTTAAGAACTTGGTGCCCTGCATCCCAGCTGTCCCAGAGCTGGTCATGGTGCACATTTTATATCATTTTGTGCACAAAACAAAATTTGTGTTAAGTACTTATGTTTGGAAGTTTCCACTTGTGTCACATTGGCACTCAAAACTTTTCTAATTTTGGAGCATTTCTGGATTTAGGATTTTTGGATTAGGATGCTCAACCTGTACTGATATTTCATTTCACCACTGTGATGTTAGTTGTACTACAAATCAGTAACTGCACCTATTTCAGCAGAATTTATACAAATCAAGTATGTACATTGTGTTTTTTATCATGTTGTAAGAACATATAACACTAAGTTGAGCCTAAAGCTAATATTTTTTTATTTTGTAATACTGCATTTAAGACTTTATTTTTTTCAGTGTATAAATGAATAAAATGTATTTAGTATTAAGTTAGTTACACTAAGAGTTCGTGCCTATCACATGTTTTGTTAATAGAAGTATAAATTTCATGCATATTCAGTATGCCAAAAAAATTCAACTAATATAGAAATATCAAAAAATAAAAACAAACCACATACCTCCTCCTTTTGTCCTGAATAAGCTGAAGTTCTATTAGGCCAAATATGGAGTAAAAGGCAAACTGCACTAAGGTAAGGTACCAGCCACAGGACTTAAAACCCTCCACTGAAAATATTAATTCCTGTCAAAAGACACATGAACACTGTTAAGTCCAAGGCAGCACACTAATTTCCTAAAAATAAATTCTTAGAAACACAACATTTTTAAAGAAACCAAGCCCCACCTCCAACAACAACAAAATGTAAATTAGAGAGGTTAGAAGCTCTTTCATATTGGTAATGTTATTTTTTGAAATTCTTGTGCCATAGATGATATAAACCTTCTTCTTTTAGAGGAAATGGTTAATTTGCCTAAACATGTTATATTATAAAGCAATATTTATATCAGTTATTAATAAGCCATTCTTAACAAGTCACTAAGAGTTATTCTAATAGTTATCTGGTTTAATTTTAATTGAATAAGTCAAATTGATCAATAAATCAAATTGAATAAATGAAGTGTATGTATGAATATGCATACATCTATAAAAAACACTTCATTACCAAACCCCAACCATTTTCTCTGAACTATTTTGATATGTAATTATAAGTAATAGTAGCAATGTCAGTTTTTACAAAATCAAAGTGGTTAAGTTATAAATACAATTAGCAGGGGTTTGTGTAATTTAAAAAACTTTGCATAAACCAATTATAAACTAAAATATCTGATTATTAATTAGAGAAAATTTATTTAATGACACTTACAGGGTGAATTTCAAATTCATTTTCCATTGCAATGGCTAACTCTGTTCCCAAGCTATTTGGTAACAGTGGTATGCTGAAGAAAAAAATGTTTCTAAAATGTTTCTCAACAAGAAATTCTAATCTCTATTTTTAATTGTTCTTCATTGTGGCATCTCAAGTTTTATATCACCTACTAGTGGAATATCAGTTATTATAAATATTAAAATTTTTAATTCATTTTTGTTTTACATTAATATTGTTCATAGCATTCTTGCAAGCTAACTAAAAAACAGTCACAATTCCATGTTCACTTACATTTCCCTTGATGATCATCTCTACAAGACAATGAAAAAGAATACAACAATTTTTAAATTCACTAACTTTTTAGTACTAAAGAATACTGGAAATATCTGTGTTTTAAGAAAATACATCATTTTCCTTTCCTTGAATTACAAAGGTTTTCTCAAGTTATGGGAAAATATCCACTAATTAAATGACCATTCATAAAATTAGAACCCATTCCAACATCCTGTTTTCACTAGCCTGGATCCTCACCCATCCAGCCCATGTCTTTGAAGGTCAGAAATCTGCTCCTAGCCAAAGGTATATAACTTTTCCAAATATAATGTAAATATAAGACAAATTGTTGCAGTATCAGAAATGTTTTGTGCCAGCAAAAAATCACAGAACAATAAGATTCTGGCAAAGTTAGAAGACAAAACCAATAAGAATGAGAATATAAGAGGTGTTTAAAAAAGAAATAATTCAAATATTATAGGATTAAAGAGATACCTTTAGAAAACCATAAAATATCCTGATACATTTTTGCAAAAATGATCTTTTATTATTGAGCTCCAAGAATCAAGTAAACTGCACTATCATTCAATAATATTCCAAGATACCAATCAATACGTGAATCATTGCTTTCTCTTGGAAGCACACATTTTGTTAAATATTTAAAACTTAATTTTCATAATGAAAATTTTTCAAGATAGTCTCTACATATGCCTCCTCCCCACTTAAATTATTTAACTCTTGAATTTTGATCTGTTAAGAAGCTCTTTTCTACTCTATACTAAAAAATTCAAATTTATGAATCAGCCAGTATCCCCTAAGTGACTATCTTGGGCAAAACTAGTAAATGCCCATACTGACCGCAATTATTATAAATAATTAACATATTACAAACATATAACTTTTTTACCTGTAAATACCCATAAATTAGGTAAAATACAAAAACTCCAGCAACACATATGAAAAACTGAGTAAGTTTGTTAAACTTGCTGAGATTCATGCCAAGTACCACAACGTCGTCAACTGACTTGATGTGTGGTGACATTGTTTGGGTTTTGGATGGCACAGTGATAGAAATATATTTCCTGGAATTGTTGAACTTGAGATCCATTGTTATTTTGCTGCATTCAATGCTTTCAGAGTTATTTTTGTTGGTTTCCTGGACTGTTATGTTCTGTATGTCTTTTGCTTGCTGTGTCAAGTCCTAGAGAAGGAAATAAGCAATTAAAACATTTACATGATAAAGTTTAATCCTCCAAATAATATTCCAAATCATACTTTAAAGTTATACAAATGTCTGCTTCTCTCTGGATATTAGTATATTAATTCCTGTATTCTAGGTTCCAAATCACCAAAAACAATATGCCTACAATCTTTAAACAATTTGTCTACAGCTGATAAAGATTAGTACATCATTAAACTGAATATAAACCATACTTATTTCCACAGCAACAAAAGCTAGTTATTTCATCAAAGAACTAAACATGTCTTTGTGTCTATATATAGTTGATGCATAACATTCTCAACATTAAAGTCAATCTTCACTTGTAGAGGAGTAAAAAATAAGTAATTCTCCTTTAAATACTAAGACAATTCTAAGATATATTTGCTAATGACATTTAAAAAATAAACTAAAAAAATGAAGGCCAGGTGTGGTGGCTCATGCCTGTAATCCCAACATTTTGGGAGGCTGAAGCAGAGAGGTTGCTTGAGACCAGGAGTTCAAGACCAGCCTGGGCAACATAGCAAGACCCTCTCTCTACCAAATAAAATAAAATAAAATAAAATAAAAAAATTAGCTGGACATGGTGGTGCATGCCTGTAGTCCTAGCTACTTGGGAGGCTGAGGCAGGATGATCACTTGAGTCCAGGAGTTTGAGGCTGCAGTAATCTATGATTGCACCCCTGCACTCCAGCCTGGGCGACAGAGCCAGACCCTGTCTCTAGAAAATAAATGAAAAAAACAAAACAAAGAAACCCCAAACCTAAGGTCCTTAAAAAGCTAGATTTATCAGAGACTACAGAAAGCACAATATGCTTCAGCAGTAGCATCTCTTAGGTTAAAAAATGTTTTCTTCCTCTGGAACAAATCATTTTAATTTACATTCTTCTGGGATGTAAAAGGCTGGAGAAAACATGTCATTTTTTGTCAGTCTAAAAAAAATTATGAAGCCATCAATTTCTCTTTGGATTTATATAAACTGAAAAAATGAACTCCATGTAAAGACTGAGGAAAGACTGAAGAATTATGACAAAGTATAGAATAAACCTATGTAAAAGAAAAAGTTATTTTCTTAGAAACGACTCATCTGTTTTTAATTCCAGTGGGAACAAAAATTTAAACTCTGCGGCACGAAGAGAAATAAGAATAATTTTGACAGTGAGTTTTCCTTTGGTAATGTTTTTTTAAACTGTTACAAGATGGCTTAAAATGGCCAAAATTAGAGTCGCCTCTTCATGATCACTTCTAGTTTGCTAATTTACAGAGGTTAACCAGGTCATCCTTAGGAATTAAAGGAGGGGTCAAGGATCTGAATACCACTTGTAACTAAAAATATGCAGCCACCACAACATTTTATAGGGCACCTGCCTTATTTCTAAATAGAAAAGTTGTTTCATGAAGTTTACTGTGTTCCTCTTGTTTATTCTTCACTTTCCTTTGTTCTTGCTTCCCACATTATGTTTCAATCACTGTCATTTGTAAGACTTTTTATGTAATCTTGCAGGGTATCTTTGAGATGTGACTTTCTTTTAAAACCATGCTTTAAATTATCTCTCCTAAATATTTGGTCAAACCTGTGCTTGAATGTAGAAGAGACGAAAACCTTAACAATTTACTCTTTTCTATGTGTGAGCATGGATATAGTGCACCATTCAAATAAACCCGGCCTTACATAGGTTTCTAAGTTTGCTCTCCCTCCACTCTCAATAAAGCCCTAAACCACCCATGTTTCATTCCTGAAATACACCAGGGACTTTAAAACACCGCTGCCTTCTGTTCATGATGTCCTTTCAGCCTGAGGTCTTCTTTCTCAAGGTCAGGTTTGGAAGTTCAGCTTTAATATCCCCTCCTTTGTGACACCATCACTAATCCCCCCAGTTATTAGAAAAGAGAACTTGAAAGGCAAGATTCAAATCTTATTTGTCTCTGTGTCCTTGGTACCTGGCATATACTCTGACCTGATATTCAGATGAACCAAATAAACTGATCCTTCCTCTTGATACCCTCAAACTTCAGCTTGCAATCACTCACCTTCTGCTTGGATACGATTTTTGAAATGGATGGTGGTACTGGCAAACTTTATGAGCAAAACTGAAAATCTTATAGAAAAAGAGTGGGGAAAATTTACAAATAATGCTTACATATTTACACATACATACAGAATAAATAAAACTTCTAGAAAATATCTTTCTTTCCTGCTTTTATTGGCATCAAAACATTTCTCCAGAAGGTCACGCTTTCCCAAAGTCACCTTCTTCTGAGATGTTTGTAATTTAGTAAACTGCCAAGCATATTGTAATGACTCAATACAATTATAGGTAATAGTATAAGAAAGCAGTATAGCATAATGCTTTCCCCATGCTTTGGAATTTTGACAGATATGAGTTCAAGATCTGGCTTTACTACTTATTAGCTGAGGAGCCTTGGGCAAATCGTTTAACTTTTCTGAGCTTTAGGTTCTGCACCTTCAAAAGTGGGAGGAGTTAAAAATGTGCCTATCACAGGATTTTGGTTAGGACTATATGAAATAAATGTAAAATTGCCTGGCATATGACAGTCCATAAGTGTGTTAGCTGTCATCCTTCAACTTTTTAGAAATATTGCTAGGGTGATATGGTGTGCTCAAGCTGACTCACCCCTTTGATGTGCAGCTGGAAATACAGACCTGAATTTCCAACGCTGCCTTCTCTCCTGAGATCCAGAGCTCTACGTCTAAATGCTTCTTTGATACCTCTACTCATAAGCTCTGCTGGCACTTCATATTTAAAATGGCCAAAGCTGATTATTTTCCCCTCAAAACAAATCTACTGTTTGTTCCTATATTCCCAATCTCACTTAACAGTACCTAGTATGAAACACAAGCTAAAAATCTGGGAGTCATCTTAAGAATCTTTCCTTTTCCTCACATTCTATATTTTGCCAAGATTCCTGTTAACTCTACCTCTATAACTATATCTAATATCTGTTTCGGACCCTACTCCATCAGGCAGCCATTTTCTCTTGCCTAGATTACGAGACTGTTTATAATCAATTCTTCCCTTTCTGACCCATCTGTCACATGGCTCAACGTGAAGTCTGATCATGCTGCATCCATGAATAAGGCCTCGAAGTTAAAAACGAGTTGATGTCCTGGACTCAATCATATTATACATATTTTTCAAATTCCTAAATGATAATGGTATAGCTTTTTCGTTTTTATACTTGTTTCTCCTAAAAGCCTATGAAATCCTTAAGGCAAGAGATATCTTCCTATGATGTTCTGGCACATAACAAAAATGTAAGATTAAATGAAGGACTCTACCACAGTTTAGCAAGCACCATTTATTTAATCAACGTTATTCAGCTCCTTTCCAACACTTTACCACTTCTAATACACTTCTTGGCAACTTTATGTGCTGCAGATCTAGGCCATATGTGCAGAATGAAATCTCTCTAGCACTGTCTTTTCTACATGTATGCCAAAATACCGACATTGCTACTGAAACTCCCCACAAAACATTTGAAATGAACATGAAAATAAATTTGTTTCCTCTGCCTGAGGCATCAGTCTCATAAAACTTGCCCACCAAAGCCTTGCATTTAGAATGCTGTTTTATTAATAAGAACATCACTGGTGAGAAAGTGTGACTGATAAAGACCTCTGATACCTAATAACTGTGATCATTGGGGAATGTCTGCCATATCCCTTCCACTTCAAACATTAATGACTGATACTAACCATCATCTAAAAAAAAAAATGGGCCAAACTCCTTGTGATGCAAGGAGCAAAAATGAAGCATGGAATTAAAATTAGTTTTCAGACTAAATGATCAACATTGTGCTTTGCTTTTGAAGCTCACAGTAATCAGTGAAACTAAAATATATATATATATATTTTAAAAATCACAGGTGTGTATAATTGCCTGAGGCCTCTTCCTAAATTCAACACAGATATTCAACTTCAACTGCTAAAATGGAATAAAAAGGTAGCATTTCCGGCATACAATGTATATTTAAAAATTAAAATTAGTGATAATGTTGAGTTACAATGACCTATTGAAGTCACAATTATTTCAGTTTATTTTTGAGTTTTCCGACCTGAAGGACAAAAGTCCCACACCAAAAAAAGGTAGAATATGAAAAAAAAGTCATTACGGTGTCATTAACCTGAAAAAACGTGATTTTAACTATACTTTGCCACACTCAACGTTACAAATAAAAGAATCTTACCATGCCATTATGCCTTGATTAACTGCGCTCCGGAATCAATCATGGCCTATGGTGTACGATTATAAAACAGAAAAAACAAAGTTCCATCTCATTTCTTTGTACACACATCATTACACAAAGGTGGAGAAACCCTGTGCTAATGTTTGAAGACTATTCTTTTTTTTTTCCAAGAGAAAAAGTTAACACTAGGACTTTATATATTAAGTAATTAAGTAAAAATAACGCTGTCTAAATTATTTTGAAATGCTGCCTCTCTTCCAAGTTCCAAACTATCTCAATTCACTTAGAAAAACGTTTAATCAAAAAACAATTCTAGGCTTCTGATATCCTAATGTAGAAAAAATGCAGATACTCAACACTTAAGATTTTGTTAGCGCACCAAATCATTCCATCTTTTACTTTCAATATTCCTTAAATAATAAAAAGACGGGAGAGATAATTCAGTTGCAAAGACTGGAGGAAACTTGCAGAACTTCTAGTGGAAGTTTATGCCATAAACTTAATAGCCCAGCCAGAACAATCACATTCTACTGCAAGCCAAATGGAGAAAAGAGTACCTTGGAGTGCCCCTATTTAATAAACACGGAACGAGGAAACAGTTAACTGTAAATACAGTCTAGAGGTATCCAGGTGACTGACAGTTCTCCAGAGACCCCGAGAACAGCGTAAAAGACCCCTTGAGGTCACCTCACCCCTGCGAGTCCACGGATTGGGACCTGAGGGAGTTCTCGCCAGCCCGAGGGCGAAAAACGGGCGAGGAGGAACAGATGCTCCTCCCTGGAAACCGCCCGGCCGGTTTCCGCTCTTTCAAAAAAGGGAATCACCCGTTTCTTCCATCCCGACCTCATCCATTCCTCGAACGCTCCTTCTGGATGAGGAAGATGGGCAGTGTCAAGGTTTTCTGGAGGAGAGGAGATCTGGGTCCCAAACACAGGAAAGGCCCCGAAGGCACGCGTACCCCAAGGCCGGTATGTCACCCGGAAGGGTGACGGCAGCCTGCGTGGCGTCTGAGCTAGACGGAGCATCTCCCCCTCCCCTGGTCCGTCGCCATCACCTCCTCTTCCTCCTCCTCCTCGCCCACTCCTGCACTTTCCACCGCGGCGGTCGCCTCCCCGGAAAGCACTCTCAACTCCGGCGCCCGCAGGCCACTTCCGCCTATGTGTCCCTGCGCGCGTGCGCAGACGCGTGGCCCCGCCTCCCGACAGGCCTGTGTGGCCGGTGGCGGGCGGGCCGTTACCTCCCGCGCATGCTCTATGGGGTAGAGACGCTAGGCCGGCACTGCCTAGGTGGGCCGGGCGGTGCGAGGGTCGCCTTTCAGCCTTTACCTCTACCCACTGAAATGGAGTAGGTCGGTGAGCGCCGATCTGCTGGAGAATCTCATTATCCCATCGGCGCTCTGCCTGCTCCTGGCCTCCAAGCCTCTGAAGCCCCTCGGGTTTCAGCTGCCGGCTACCCTCGAGCCCGTGGTGCCCACGAGAGAGGCGACTTTACGTCAGCGGCCCTGGGCTGAGATTTGAGAACGCGACCAAGTGGAGAATGTTGGAGCCAGATTTTAAAATCCTTGTCTTCCTTCTGCGTGCTACTTGATCTAAATGAGATACGGCAAAGTCACAGAACCTGTTTTTATGTTTTTGCCTGATTCATACGGGCTTCTCCGGTGAAGATGGGCCTGAAGTAACGCTTGGGTTGCTTCTGACGTTATAACTCATCCTGTAGCTGCAGCAACCGTGGTCCTTGCAACCTCATAAAAATGTTGCCAGCATTGTTTCGATAGTGCTGCTTAATTCTTGGAAGGTAAATCTCAAAGCTTGAGGACCAGCCATCAAAACTTTTGTAAAAGGTTTTCCCCGCGTTTAGGGCCTCATCCATCACCACTGAGATGTAATAACGTAAAAACCAAGACGGTTTGGGGATGAGCTGTTTTCAGAGAATAATTAAGGAAAATATTACTGTAACGAAGATGGACAATTTTTGAAAGCATGCCTTGAATACCAGAAAGGGATGAATTGGATTAATATGTATGTTAGAATCCAGTCAGTTATGGACAACTTTTAAAATTTTACAGGCACTCTTCAGAAAGGGTAGCATTTGTGTCTTGTATTGGGATCGAGGGTTTGTAAGAAAGCAAGGCACCTACTTTGGTGGTGAGAAAAAAAGGTCTGGGTAGACATTTTCGTTTAATACTTGCCAACGTTGTTAGGCTGGTGTTAGCAACACTTAGGAATGTTGGAATTAAGGCTTAGAGAACTTAAATTTCCTAAAGAGATAGTAAATGACAAAACCTTTCAGTGATGCCATATCGTCACTGTATAATGTGAATTTAGTACTACTGTTAGCCATTTATATGGTGGTTATTTATCAAGTATTTATTAAATGGGCATATGTATAGCTCATATCGTAAACTATGCGTATGAGCTCCCTGTCCTGAAGAAATTAGGGGTTTCCATGAGAAAGTAAATGGCAGTATAAAACAACTTAAGGTACAAGAGGTGTTACAAGGTACCATCTGCTCATGCCTGGACAATTGCAGTAGCCGTGAGCATAGCTTTCTGCATTCCCTTTATTTCTCTACATAGTTGCATTCAGCAGCTGGAGTGATCCCATTAGAACCTGAATATGCCACTCCTCTGTGCAGAACCTTTTAGCGGTTTACCATTTTACTCAGATTAAAGTTCAAAATTCTTACCCTGACTTTTAAGACTGAACTTATTCTTGATGGATCACATCCAAGCTACACTTCAGAGCTTTTCTAATTGCCCCCAAGCACAGCAAGCATCAGTGCTTTGTAGCTGTTGTTCCTTCTGCATGGAACACTGCCCTCTCAGATGTCCACAGAGCTTGCTTCCTCATTTTTTTCCAGTCACTGCTCAAATGTCACCTGGCTCTTCTCTGACTACCATGTCAGTGAAATATTTTTACATGTCAAATGTGAAATGTAGGAGAGACTATCTGGAGTAGTACTTATTATAGAGTAGGTGTTTAATAAATATCGACTCTCTTACAATACTTCCCATTTACTCCTGTGATAACCACGTGGTAAACAAAATTAAAGACTTGCAGCTATGAATTGTTTTTTATTGACTGATTGACTGATTGAGGCAGAGGCTCACTCTGTCGCTCAGGCTGGAGTGCAGTGGCACATCTCAGCTCACTGCAACCTCTGCCTCCTGGGTTCAAGCCATTCTCCTGTCTCAGCCTCCCGAGTAGCTGGGATTATAGGCGCCTGTCACCATGCCCGGCTAATTTTTGTATTTTTAGTAGAGATGGGGTTTCACCTTATTGACCAGGCTGGTCTCGAACTCCTGACCCCAAGTGATCCACCCACCTCAGCCTCCCAAAGTGCTAGGATTATAAGCGTGAGCCACTGCGCCTGGTCCTATGAATTGGTTTTAAATTTTTAAGAAATTAATAATTCTGTAGTATCAGAAACCTTTGGTGTCTTGATTCACATCTTCTGAGCATCACCTCTCATTTCTGACTTGGTTGTGGGGGGCAGTTTCATGCAATCTTACACATTCTTCTCCCTGACAGCTTCTCCTCTCCCACATTTACCAGGCCTCTTTGCTTTCTTCCCTGAGGTTCTTCGGACTTCACACATTCCAGCAGTAGCTCTCTCAGCTCCTGTCCTGCACAGCTTTGAAGTGCTGGTAAGTCAACACATCTGGGGCCCTTCAACCAAGGGGTGACAGTCACTGATGGATAAATGCTCTTGCTTCTTACACTTGAGCAAGATAGTTTTGTAGGCCATTCTGTGTGTTTTTCAAAAAGTCCCAGTGAAATTGGGTTCTGGTTTCTCACAACAGCAACTTCAATAACACATTCTTGTATTATGTCTATATTCTCCCTTCCATTCTCTCATTGTTTCTCACTAGGATCACATCCCAAATTACCTGTCCCCACATAAGTAGTTGTCTCAGGTTTTGAGGGAAACCAAGCTAAGAAATTTGATGTAAGAAGAAAGTCTAGAATGCAGCTCCTCAGAACTCTGGAAGTGGGTTACTTTGCAGTCAGATGACAACAAGGACTTTCTTAGTGATATTAAGGGGAGGACATGTGCATGGCCCAACAATTAAGGCTCTTTCTTACTAAAGCCGATATGACTACTGCCTCTTTGGATGTCCAGCCCATCAGCAGCAAAGATTGATGGTAAATTCCATAAGGAGAGCAATTACACAAAAGTCCTTCCTTCCTGGAGAGAGCCGTGGTTTGTACTTACGGAACTGACACTTCCCTTGATATGACTGGTCTTGTTCATGGTGCCTCTGCCAGTACCATTATATAACAGAGTTACAAACACATGATTGATTGACTTCCTTCCTTCCTTCCTTCCTTCCTTTCTTTCTTTCTTTTTTCTTTCTTTCTTTCTTTCTTTCTTTCTTTCTTTCTTTCTTTCTTTCTTTCCTTCTTTTTTTCTTTCTTTTTCTTTCTTCCTTCCTTCCTTTTTCTTTTTCTTTCTTTCTCTTTCTCTTCCTTCCTTCCTTTTTCTTTTTCTTTCTTTCTCTTCCTTCCTTTTTCTTTCTTTCTTTCTCTCTTTCCTTTCTCTCTCTCTTTTCCTTCTTTCTTTTCTTTTTTCTTCCTTCCTTTCTTTTTTCTTTCTTTCCCTTCCTTCCCTCCATCTCCTCCCTCCCTCCCTCCCTTCCTTCCTTCCTCTTTCTTTCTCTCTTTCCCTCCCTCCCTCCCTCCCTTCCTTCCTTCCTTTCTTCCTTCTTTGACACAGAGTCTCACTCTGTTGCCCAGGCTGGAATGCAGTGGCACAACCTCTGCCTCCCAGGTTCAAGCCATTCTCCTGCCTCAGCCTCCCCAGTAGCTGGGATTACAGGTGCCTGCCACTACACCTGGCTAATTTTTTTGTATTTTTGGTAGAGACACGGTTTCACCATGTTGGCCAGGCTGGTTGTGAACTCCTGACCTCAAGTGATCTGCCCACCTCAGCCTCCTAAAGTGGTGCAATTACAAGCGTGAGCCACCACACCCAGCCCAAACACATGATTTTCTGATGTATTGCCTCCAACTAAAGGACACACTTTATGGTAAAAGAGGTGTGACAATGACACACGACCATGGAATTCCACTGGTCCTACCATATATTGTATCAACTGGAGGAAATTGGCCTGATAGAACACTGACATTGTTTTGTGAACATCAGCAAGTATCCTTTTCAGGAACAGTGCTCAGATAGGGTTGAGATGCCGTCACTCCTGACACACACACACACACACACACACACACACACACACACACACACCTGGCCCTTGGGAAGTTTGGTGGCATTAACACCCCCAGGCAATGATCCACCAATGGGGAATGGGCACCTATGGATAAATGCCTTCCATTTCCTAGGAGCAATTTTTGGGAGGTGTTTTTATGTATTTTAGGATGTCCTAGATAATCAAGTCATGTGACTTGGGGGAGCGAGAAAGAGAAACCAGCAGTGGAGACTTAGAAGAAGCAGCTGTTGACATAGGATGGGTCCAGGAATGTACAGTCTTCTAAAAGCCAGGTGAAGACAATGTTTAAAGGAGGAAGGAGTGATCAACAATGTCAGTTCGTGTCAATTGGTGTTACTTAGTCATGTGTCTGTGAAGAATCATCTTGCATAGTTAAGTCTCAGGTTCTAGTGTCAGATTAAATTTAAATCCTTGCACCACCCCTTGCTCTTTGAGTGTCTTTGTGCAAATTGCTTAAATTCTCTAAGTCTCAATCTCCCCATCTGTGAAATGGGAATGACAGTAGTACCTATGTGGTAAATTGTAGTGATGAGTAAGTGAAAGATGTTTAAAGATGGTTAAATGGTTAGCACAACACCTATTACCTGACAAACACTTAGTAAAAGTTAGCTATTAATATTCTTATTAATATAGCCTACTATCATTAGAATAATCCATTTATATATAGTCATCAGTTGTCACTTTTCTAGCTCTTCCATAAGGAATAGGTTATATAGCATTTCCAAACTAGGAAGTTCATTGATAGATATATGGTTCCAGATGCACTGAGCAGAAAAACTAGTTAATTTGATTTTCATTAAATATCCATTTAATAAATACTTATTGAGCACTTACTCTGCATGCTACTGGGTATTGTGGATATGTGGATGACAAGACAGACATGGATCCCTGCCCTCACAAAGCTCACAGCCTTGTGTGGTGGAGATAATTAATTACACAAGTAATTATAGTGTGATTTGTGTTGATAAGGGTATTAACTACAGGATGCAATGGGAGCTATAGGCTATGCTAATGAGGCTGTGGTTATAGATTCAGTTCCCCTGTAGGTTGCTTGACTTCCAGGGCTATCAGTTTTTCTCTGCTGTCTCCTAAATGGATAGAGGTT
Organism: Homo sapiens; assembly: GCF_000001405.40. Lineage (NCBI taxonomy): Eukaryota > Metazoa > Chordata > Mammalia > Primates > Hominidae > Homo > Homo sapiens. The sequence continues at coordinate 8,440,718 of NC_000006.12, forward strand.
CACAGAACTGGGCCACCTGGACACCAGCCATGACTCCTCTTCTTTCCCAGTACTGATAATTGGCATGGGGCAAAATTCTTCATAAAGAGGTAGCATGTGTAATGAGATGGAGAAATATTTTGCTCGTTTAACACCTGGCTTTTGAATCCCTTTTTGGTCAAAGTTTCTGTGTTTTGTTTTCTTTTTGTAAGAAGTAATTCGATTAGCCTCTTAGAAGATTATTCTTAAACTGCCTTCCATGGAGGGTTAGTCTTATTAACATGAAGTTCTTTTTATTTCCAGAACAGTGCTGTCCAATAGGAATATAATATAAGCCATGGAAGCTACTTTAAATTTTCTGCTAGTTACATTAAAAAGGTGAAATGAGGCCGGGTGTGGTGGCTCATGCCTCTAATCCCAGCACTTTGGGAGGCCAAGGCAGGCGAATCACTTGAGGTCAGGAGTTCAAGACCAGCCTGGCCAACATGGTGAAACCCCATCTCTACTAAAAATAAAAAAAAATTAACAGGGCGTGGTGGCGGGCACCTGTAATCCCAGCTGCTCAGGAGGCTGAGGCAGGAGAATGGCTTGAACCAGCGAGGCAGAGGTTCCAGTGAGCTGAGATCATGCCACTGCAGTCCAGCCTGGGCAACAGAGTGAGTCTCTGTCTCAAAAAAAAAAAAAAAAAAGGTGATATTAATTTTAATAATATATTTATTTAACTCAATATAACCAAAATATTATCATTTCAACATGCAATCAATATAAAAAGTTGTTAATGAAATACTTTAACATCTGTTTTTTTATACAAAATCTTGGAAATCCAGTGTGTATTTCACACTTCCAGCATATTTTGGTTTGGACCAGCCACATTTCAAGTGCTCAGAGTAGCACATATGACTACTATCTACCACTCAGGACAATGGAATTTTAGAGCACTTTAATTCTTGTTCACCACTTGGAAGGTGATGAAGTTTAAAGTGCTAGAGAAAATCCAGGCTGGGCGCAGTGGCTCACATTGCCTGTAATCCCAGTACTTTGGAAGGTCAAGGCAGGCAGATCTCTTGATTCCAGGAGTTCAAGACCAGTCTGGGTAACATGGCAAAACCCTGCCTCTAGAAAACAAACAAACAAACAAAACAAAAATAAAATCAGCTGAGTGTGGTGATGCATGCCCATAGTCCCAGCTACTCAGGAGGCTGAGGTGGGAGGATCCCTTGAGCTTGGGAGGCGGAGGTTGCAGTGATCCCAGATCACACCACTGCACTCCAGCCTGGGTGACAGAGTGAGACCTGTCTCAAAAAAAAAAAAAAGAAAAAAGAAGGAAAGAAAGAAAGAACAAACAAATGAAGGAGGGAGAGAATAAAGGGAATCACCAGTGTGGTATGGCTGAGAAGGGAGCTTTTGGGAGACTATAGGTTCTGTATCTAACTGGAGTATTTAAGTTGTTTTATGGAGGCTGTGATTTATAATTCCACCACTTCATATTCTTAAAAAGCTTCAGTAAATCTGCATTGTTCATTAATGCCCTGCATAGGTGCATTATTTCAGATGAATTTAAAGAAGGCTAAATTCTGTGGCCAGGTGGGTGTGGAGTAAAAATAAAGATGGCTCCCAGGGATGTAGGAGCAAGTGGGTGGGAACTGCTAAAGCTTGTTTTTACGTAAGATAAGCATTTAACTTCCTCCACTCCTCTACTGTGAAGTCTTGAAGGGTTTATGTCACTAATTGTTCAACCTAAATAAACATTTATTAGGCCTGTTCTCTACAGCTGCAATTAGAACTTTTGAGAACCAGCTGCATTTTGCAACTTTGTTCTTTCTTGACTTCTGTACTGCTGCACTGACTGGTTCTCCTACCTCACTGTTCCTTGTCCTGTCCTCAAAATGTTCATGTTTCAGTCTCTGTTTTCCTGATCTTTTGTATAAACTCCTCTTCAGGAAATCAATTTAATTTAAGATTACGGACTTGTCCTCTATATCTGTGTAATTAACTGCTCACCTATGCTTTATTCTCATTTTTCAAACTGCTTGTTAGCGACATTGGATGCAGTGATATAACCCTGTAGTCATCCTAAGTGTGAACTCAGTTTCTTTCACAAATCAGTATTTTCCCTCCTCCTTTCTTTTCCTTTCAATAAAACTCTAATTATTTGTTATCACTATTTCTTTTTCTCCGTCCTTTCTAGAGGTTGAGTATCTCTTATGTGAAATGTATGGGACCAGAAGTGTTTCACAGATTTTAGATTTTTTAAAAATTTTGGAATATTTGCATATACATAATAAGATATCTTGAGGCTGGGGCCCAAGTCTAAACACAAAATTCATTTATGCCTTATAAATACCTTATACACATAGCCTGAAGGTAATTTTAAACAATATTTTTAATAGCTTTGTACATGAAACGAAGTTTGTGTTAAGTACTTATGTGTGGAATTTCCCACTTGTGATATTATGTCAGTGCTCAAAAGTTTTGGATTTTGGAGCATTTCAGATTTCAGATTTTCAGATTAGGGATGTTTAATTGTATTAGTTTACTTTGGTCCGTCTTGTGTATATAAGTAACTGTATTAGCTTTCTATTGCTGCTATAACAAATTACCACAAGCTTAGTGGCTTGAAGACCACACAGTTTTTTTATTTTACAGTTCTATAGGACAGAATTTCAAAGTGGGTTTTGGGTGGGTACAGTGGCTCATGCCTATAATCGTAGAGCTTTGGGAGGCTGAGGTGGGAGGATAGCTTGAGGACAATAGTTTGAGATCAGCCTGAGTAGCATAGAGAGTAGAGTAGAGTAACATCTCTACTAAATACATACATACATACATTACATACAAACATAATGAGCCTCACTGGGATGTAATCAAATGGTCAACAGTGCTGCATTCCTTTTGAAGCGGCTATGTTGTCTGGGGTATATACCTGGGGTTCGTAGTCTTGCACCAGGAAAACTTAGGACACAGACACACATGAAGAGTTTAGGGGTGGAGGCTTAATAGGCAGAAGAAAAGAGAAAGAAAAACAGCTCTCTCTATAGAGAGGGGTCTTCTGAGCAGAAAAGACCAGCTGGCAGTGAATGTGCCAGATTTTATAGTCCCGTTTGAGGAGGTGGTGTCTGATTTAGTGGGGCTTACAGATTGGTTCAATCAGGTATGATGTTTACATAGCACAAGGGGAAGACTGGTTGCCCCACCGTAATCTTATGCAAATGAACTCTCCCCTTGGCCAGTGCCATCTTGTCTGCTCCTTACTGTACACGTAAGGTAGAGAAGGGTAGATGGAGCCGCCATCTTGAACATGGTACTAGTCCCTAGTTCCTGCCGTCATTCACCCAGGGACGCTCCCAGCTTGCTTATCTATTCTGTGTCTATGGCTTGACTTTACAGGCTGCTCTTTGCTAGGAAATGATTTGGGGCTGCTTTTCATTAAAAAGAAAAGCCTTACTGAGGATTCCCATACCTTTACTATCTGCCTAAGTGATATCTTCTTAACTCCTATATCACTTTCTAGGGGCTCTAGGGGAGAGTTCATATTCTTTCTTTCTCCATCTTCTAGAGGTTATCCCTATTCCTTGGCTTGTTGTCCCCTTCCATTTTCAAAGCCAGCAAAGCCATTTGAGTCTTTCTCACATGGCTTCAGTGTGTACTGACTCTTCCGCCTCCTCTTATACATTTTAAAGATCCTTGTGATTACACTGGGCTCACTCAGATAATCCAGGATAATCTCCTTTTTTTTTTTTTTTTATTATACTTTAAGTTCTAGGGTACATGTGCACAACGTGCAGGTTTGTTACATAGGTATACATGTGCCCTGTTGGTTTGCCGCACCCATTAACTCGTCATTTACATTAGGTATTTCTCCTAATGCTCCCCCTCCCCAATCCCCCACCCCAGGACAGGCCCCAGTGTGTGATGTTCCTAGCCCTATGTCCAAGTGTTCTCATTGTTCAGTTCCCACCTATGAGTGAGAACATGTGGTGTTTGGTTTTCTGTCCTTGTGATGGTTTGTTCAGAATGATGGTTTCCAGCTTCATCCATGTTGCTACAAAGGACATGAACTCATCCTTTTTTATGGCTGCATAGTATTCCATGGTATATATGTGCCACGTTTTCTTAATCCAGTCTATCATTGATGGACATTTGGGTTGGTTTCAAGTATTTGCTATTGTGAATAGTGCTGCAATAAACATATGTGTGCATGTGTCTTTATAGTAGCATAATTTATAATCCTTTGGGTATATACCCAGTAATGGGATTGCTGGGTTAAATGGTATTTCTAGTTCTAGATCCCTGAGGAATCGCCACACTGACTTCCACAATGGTTGAACTAGTTTACATTTCTTTTACATTTGCTGAGGAGTGCTTTACTTCCAACTATGTGGTCAATTTTGGAATAAGTGCAATGTGTTGCTGAGAAGAATTTATATTCTGTTGATTTGGGGTGGAGAGTTCTGTAGATGTCTATTAGGTCTGCTTGGTGCAGAGCTGAGTTCAATTCCTGGATATCCTTGTTAACTTTCTGTCTCGTTGATCTGCCTAATGTTGACAGTGGGGTGTTAAAATCTCCCATTATTATAGTGTGGTAATCTAAGTCTCTTTTTAGGTCTCTCAGGACTTGCTTTATGAATCTGGGTGCTCCTGTATTGGGTGCATATATATTTAGGATAGTTAGCTCTTGTTGAATTGATCCCTTTACCATTATGTAATGCCCTTCTTTGTCTCTTTTGATCTTTGTTGGTTTAAAGTCTGTTTTATCAGAGACTAGGATTGCAACTCCTGCTTTTTTTTGCTTTCCATTCACTTGGTAGATTTTCCTCCATCCCTTTATTTTGAGCCTATGTGTGTCTCTGCATGTGATATGGGTCTCCTGAATACAGCACACTGATGGGTCTTGACTTTTTAATCCAATATGCCAGTCTATGTCTTTTAATTGGGGCATTTAGCCCATTTACATTTAAGGTTAATATTGTTATGTGTGAATTTGATCCTGTCATTATGATGTTAGCTGGTTATTTTGCCCATTAGTTGATGCAGTTTCTTCCTAGCATCGATGGGCTTTACAATCTGGCATGTTTTTGCAGTGGCTGGTACCAATTATTCCTTTCCATGTTTAGTGCTTCCTTCAGGAGCTCTTGTAAGGCAGGCCTGGTGGTGACAAAATCTCTCAGCATTTGCTTGTCTGTAAAGGATTTTATTTCTTCTTTACTTATGAAGCTTAGTTTGGCTAGATATGAAATTCTGGGTTGAAAATTCTTTTCTTCAAGAATGTTGAATATTGGACCCCACTCTCTTCTGGCTTGTAGGGTTTCTGCCGAGAGATCAGCTGTTAGTCTGATGGGCTTCCCTTTGTGTGTAACCCAACCTTTCTCTCTGGCTGCTGTTAGTGATAATCTCCTTTTTTTTAAGGTCAGTTTGTTCCGGGACCAAACCCAGGGCTGGGCTGCTTATTCCTGTGGGCCAGTAATGGGATGCAGATGAACTGGGAAAGACGGGAGTTTATTCCTGCAACCAGGTACAGGGAGAAGGCCTGTAAAAATATCACCAAACTCAAAATTATAAAGTTTTCCAGAGCTTATATACCTTCTAAGCTATATGTATACGTGTAAGTGTACATTCATCTAAAGTGATAAGTGATTAACTTCTTCTAATCTGTAACTAAGATCTGAGTTCAGAAGACCTTCCTCTGGAGCCTCAGTACACTTACCTAATCTAAATGGGTCCAGGTGCTGGGATGATTCCCTTATCTTCTCCCCTGCCAAATCATGGAGGTGTGGGGAGTTCCTTCAGACCCAATAAACTTGTTTGCAGAGGCCTGGGGAATTTCTTCAGACCCCCAGTAAAAGTTGTTTAATCTTAAACGGGTCATGTTAAGAATTCCCTCATTATCTCGTCATGCTTTAAGGCCCAGGAGAGGCCTAGGCAAAATTCTTGATGGGCTTTTGTTACATTCCAGCCTTTGTATAAGGGCACTGGCTGTCTCAGCTTTTAATATTTAACTTCATCACTCAGTCAGTGCTGAAACAGTTGTTGTGGAGCCCTGCCTGTTCAGCCTTTATGAAGACCTGGCCTGCAGAAGTTGATTGAAGCCCATCCATACATTTTGAGGCCCCGTTCCATTGGAGATCTCTGAGTTATCTCCCTTAAAGGGTGAGGAAGCTTGGAGATTTATCCTCCACCTCCTCCCGTTGAATGAGGACTTTTTGTAAGTCTGTTAACTCCCCAACAGTTTATTTCTACCCTTCCCCATGCCAGTAAGCAAATCTAGGAGAAAGCACCCAGGCAGAGGGTAAGTAGGATACCAAGAGCCCTCCTGTGGTTGAAGAACTCTCTGTTGATTGATTCATCACAGTGAGTGAGAGTGCATGCTGTGGAGGAACTGTGGAGCATCTCAGTAAGCAAGTATTAGAAAGGATTTACAGGATTTGGTCTCATGTCAGGTAACAAGGAAGAGGTTCTAGGAGGTGGAGATTTGCTCTGGGATTTTCTGTTGCCAGAAAACATAGATCATCCTATGTCTGGATATCTTTAGAATTCTTTTTTTTTTTTTTTTTTTTGAGATGGAGTCTCGCTCTGTCGCCCAGGCTGGAGTGCAGAGGCACGATCTCGGCTCACTACAACCTCTGCTTCCCAGGTTCAAGTGATTTTCCTGCCTCAGCCTCCTGAGTAGCTGGGATTACAGGCACGTGCCACCATGCTCGGCTAATTTTTGCATTTTAATAGAGATGGGGGTTGCACCATGTTGGTCAGGCTGGTCTCGAACTCCTGACATCATGATCTGCCCACCTCATCCTCCCAAAGTGCTGGGATTACAGGCTTGAGCCACTGCTCCCGGCCCAGAATTCTTAGCTTGAAGGAGAGAAGAACAAGAGCAAGCTACAGCTATAATTGGTAAAGAAGTAATTCTCACTTATATTAGCCCAGATAGAGAGACGTTTGTTCATTTTGGGAGTTTAGACAATGTTCTTGTTTTTGTCTGAGTTCAGACATGATCACCAAGTGGTCTTGTGTTCATTTTGATCCGTCATTGTCATGGAATAGACTTGTCCACTATTGGTGTTCTGTGAAACTGGTTATGATCAACAGAAGGACACTGTGTCTTATTGGATAGTACCAGTCAATCTCCCAGCTATCAGGAGCTGCTTTTCTTTTTCTCACTACTATGGTCATGTACTGGCATGGTGAGTGCCAAGACAAGTGAGACTCCTACAGCATCCACTACTTTTCACTTTCTTCCATTCTATAGATTGCTGCTGGGTAGGTATTGATATTTTTACAATATTTCTTTTACCATAGTTTTACCATGTGTATTAGTTTCCTTTAGTGCAAAACAAGTTACTGCAAACTTAGCAGCTTAAAACAACACCTATTTATGAGCTCATAGTTTTGTAGATGAGAAGTCTGGGTATGGGTTGACTGGATTCTCTGCTCTGGGTCCCATAAAACCAGAATCAAGGTGTTGATTAGGACTGTCGTCTTATCTAGAGCTGAAAGTCTTTCTTCAAGCTCATTCAGGTTGTTAGCCAAATCCAATTCTTTGCACTTATTGGACTGAAGTCCCTGTTTCCTTGCTGGCTGTCAGCTGACGGGCCTCTCTCCGCTTCTGGAGGCTGCCTGTGATTCTTAGCCAACTGGTTCACTCCATGTACAAAGTCAGGTGTGTCAAAACCTTCTTGTGTTTCAAAACCCTGATTTTCTCTGTCTCTGACTGCTAGACCCAAATCTAAAGGGCTCATGAGATTAAGTTATGTCTAAAAGGATAATCTCTCTTTTGATTAAGTCAGATCAACTGATTAGTAACCTTAATGATGTTGGAAAAATCCCTTTTGCCATATGATATCACATTTTAAACTCAGATTATTTCAAGAGTCATTCACGTTTTTGCATTCATCAATAAAGCATTTATTGTTATTGCTGAAGTAAAATTCCATTTCATGAAATATTATTTATCATTTCACTGTTAATGAAAATTTAGGCCATTTCCAGGTTTTGGCTGTTACTTGTCAGGATGCTGTTGAGCATTCATGTTACAAGTGTTTGTGTGGACCTATGTTGCCATTTCTCTTGGGTAAATATTAATACCTAGAAGTGGACTAGTTTTGTCACATAGCTGTGTATTTAACTTTTTAAGAAACTGCTGGCCAGGCACGGTGACTCACGCCTGTAATCCCACCACTTTGGGAGGCCGAGGTGGGTGGATCACCTGAGGTCAGGAGTTCGAGACCAGCCTGGCCAACGTGGTGAAAACCCGTCTGTACTAAAAATACCAAAATTAGCCGGGCATGGTGGCAGGTGCCTGTAATCCCAGCTACTAGGGAGGCTGAGGCAGGAGAATCGCTTGAACCCAGGTAGCAGAGGTTGCAGTGAGCCGAGATCATGCCATTGCACTCCAACCTGCCGGACAAGAGCGAGACTTCGTCTCAAAAAAAAAAAAAGAAAAGAAAAAGAAACTGCTAAACTGTTTTCCAAAATGCTTATACCATTTTACATTCCCAACAGCAGTAGATGAGAATTCTGTTCACTTCCCATCCTAGCCAGAAGACTGGTCCAGTCTTTTTCATTTTAGCCATTTTAAAAGGCTTAGTAGTATCACACTGTGGTTTTAATTTGCAATTCTATAATGTCTAATAATATTAAATACTTCTCATATGCTTATTGACTTATTGAGCGTCTTTTCATATGCTTTATTGAGTTCTGTAGATCTTCTTTGGTGAGGCATTTATTCACATTTTTTGCCCATTAAAAAAAATTTTTTTTAACCTTTAAAATTTTTTCAACTGTTTTATTTCTTTTTAAAAATTTTCTATAGTTAGGATGTAAAACCTAATGTTTTCATATACATTTACATAGTGAAATGATTACTACAGTCATGCAAATTAACATATTTGTAACCTCCCATAGTAAGCTTTTCTTATTATCACATTTTGAGAATTCTTTATATATTCTAGATCCAAGCCATTTTATGAGAAATGCAGCTTGCAAATATTTTACCCCATGCTGATGCTTGTTTTATCATTCTTTTCATGATTTCTTTTGAAGAGAAGTTCTTAATTTTGTTGTGTATAATATTAATTAATTTATTTTTGATGGATTGTGCTTTTTGTGTCATAGCTATTAGGTTGGGGCAAAAGTAATTGTGGTTTTGGCCATTAGTTTCCATGGGAAAAACTGCAATTACTTTTGCAGAAACCTAATAATGTATCTTTGCCTCAGTGTCACAAAGATATTTCCTATTTTACTTTAGAGGTTTTCAGTTTTAGGTTCTACATCTAGGTCTGTGATCCATTTTGAGTTAATTTTCACATATATTTTGAGGTCTTTAGTTCATCTTTGTTTTTGAAAGTTGTTTTCACTGGATTTTAACTTCTAGGATGATGGATGTTTTTCTTTCAATACTTTTGTGATGTTGCTGCACTCTCCTTGCTTGCATTGTTTCCAATGAGAAATCTGCTTCTCGGGACACACTAAAGATGAAAATTACTCTTTTGGAGTTTTGTTGTTGTTCATCTATATTCTGGACACAGATTGTGACCATTTACCAACTGGAAGTACATTATTTTAAAACAAGTGAAATGTAAATTCCTGTCTAAAAGTGATTGATATTTCCAGAGGAATTCAATAGATATGGTCTTCCAGATATATAAATAACTTTCAATTTTTGTTATAGTGGTTGATCCAGGACAATGTATCATAAATTCTAGAAGCTTCATGTTGGTGTCCTAGGAGACAATATTGCAGCAGAGGTTAGATAGCCACTCTGCATCTTTGGAATAAAACAATTGCTACTTAGCAGAACCCAGGGTTAGACAAATCAGTCTTGTACCTATTTGAAAGGAAGAAGTATTAAAAGAAAATAAATCTTTATCAACAAATTTCATCTCAAATGCTATTATGGAAATGCAAGTTTCAATTCATTTATATAATTGAATAAAGTAAAATTTATAGTTGTTTTCAAAGCTTTCATTTGGCTATAACATATGTTAAATTTTTTATTTTAGATCTTTTAAAAATTGACTTAGTAATCAATAAATTAAAATATTTTATTATAATATTAGTCTGATATGTGGAAATCATACTAATTTTTGGTGAGTTGTAATTGCAGTTAAAGGCAGTTTGCTACATTTAATACTAGAAAGTATGCAAAAATCTAAAATCAACATGTGAAATGCATTCTATTGTTTTTGCAAAGAAATTAATAGCATAACATATACCTACATTAAATATACATAACATATAAATAAATATATGAAATAATATTTATATAATCGATATAAAAACTGCTTTCAAAATATATTGTATTTTTGCATTTTAAAGAAACAAAGAGTCAAAGAACTTGTAAAGAATTTGTTCAATTTCTGTTTATAGCTAATACTGGACTAATTCATGACAGAAAGATAGGTGGAAATAATTATTTCTGTGTCCTCTGTACGCCAGAAGAAAAGTTTCTATAGTTGAATAAATACAATTAAATGAAGTCCAAAGAGGTATATGTTGCAGCTATTTCTTTTAATCTTTTAAGATATTTGAATGTAATATTTAAAGACATAATTACTTCTTTAAGCTTTAAGGCTAAAGTTCTTAAACAGAAAGACAATAATCAATGACCAGAAAAGCAATCCAAAAAACCATAATGATAAATGCGTAACTCTAGATGAATATTAGTTCACTTTTTCATGAGTCACTTATGTTACTAATGACTTAGCAATCCTAGTTTACTTTATTGTATTATTATGCGTGCTAAGATTCTTGTTATTTCTGTACAGAGAAAGAGGAAAATACAAGAATTTTCTTTGTATTTTCTGAGAATGAGGTTTGATGTGATGAAGGTTTTTCATGGCTTTTTGAATTAGTTTTTTAAAAAAACTTTTGTCTTATAAGAAATTTGTACTCAGCTTATGTTTATTATGAATTGTTTCTTCTTTGAGTCATGTTTATTACATCTTTGAATTGCCAATATGATTATCCCGTATCATAAAAATATACTGTCTTTCTTTTGGAGTTGTTACTGAGTTATTGTTCATTTCAAAGGTATAATCAAGTTCTTAAATTGCTAATATGACTATTGAGTTTAAACAGTCTTGTCTCTTTTCTCAATAATCCTTTTACCAACTCCTTTCCCCACCTCTGAAGTTCTTTGAATCAATTTTCATCACAACAAAATAATTTGTGACCATGGTTCAGTTGCCTTTAGTTTGCTTTCATCACAATAGTCTTTCATAAAATAAGCTCTTTTGTGTGTATGTATATATATATATATGTGTGTGTGTATGCACATACACACACACACACACACGTATACTGTTTTTCTATTTGTACTCTGTGTGATTATTTTGATGTGATTTAGGTCTTAACAGTAATCTAACTTCTTTTAGAAATAGAATGGCCAGCTTTCATTCGTTTGGACATTTAGGATTATATAACTCATATGGAAAAGAAATATTACTTTAGATGTCTTCTTATAACAATAGCCTATTGGATTCATCAGGGAGGAATAAAAGGCGGTCAGGAGCAGCATAGCTTGAGGAAAAATAATAGCATTTTTGTTTCTTCCATCTTAGCGTGTCATGATGTAGAAAGAAGATGGTGTTATTTTTTACCCTTTAAAAAAACTTGTGTGGTCTTAAGTTGATAAAAATAATGGAATAATAACAGTGTATTTTCCAGGCTTGTGACATAATAGGAGAAGTTTTAGATACACGTGTGGCAGCATAAATAGCTAAGGGACTGGGGAATGAGCCTGGCTGGCACCACTTAAACGTTAGACACAAGCTCTATTTCTAAGAGCATGCTGCTGAATATAACCTCTGTGAAGAATACCTGATTCTGGGAGGATAGATGCTTCACTTTAACAAAAATTTTCATGTTATCTTAAAGGCCATTCTTTTTTTTTTTTCTTTTTTTTGAGACTGATCTCACTCTGTCGCCCAGGCTGGCATGCAGTGGCACGATGTCGACTCACTGCAACCTCCACCTCCTGGGCTTAAGGGATTCTCCTGCCTCAGCCTCCTGAGTGGCTGAGACTACAGGCATGTGCCACCATGCCTGGCTAATTTTTGTATTTTTAGTAGAGATGAGGTTTCACCATGTTGGCCAGGCTGCTCTCAAACTCTTGACCTCAAATGATCCACCCTCCTCAGCCTCCCAAAGTGCTGGGATTACAGGTGGGAGCCACCACACCCTGTTAAAGGAGCTTGATGGAGCTTTGAGAATACCAAGACTTGGGCACAAGCTGCATCTTCTTATTTTAGATTGGGTAGCACTGTCCACTGATCTTTAACTATTATTATTGCTATTATCTCTGACCCTGAATACTGTGCCATTCTTTCTTTAAAGCCGATTTGAAGCTTTAAATTACTACAGTATTTTCAGTTGTGTGGAAGAGTAAGAGTTATCCACTGTAGTGCCAAACTTAGTCTTTTGCCACCTGATGGGAATTGACATTTGGTGTGCTCTAGTACTTACTTCTTACCTGTCACGCATAGCATCAGAGGTTTTAATTGCTTTATTTGCATACAGTTAATGAGGGTAGTATAGTTGGATAATCTAAGTAACCAAGTTAGTTATGTATTGAATTAGCCAATTAAGCCAGGTAATCCCTCTGAAATGTTTTTTGTTAATAAGAAAGAAGATGATAATGAAACGATTCATCTTTGGTTCCAATCCAAGTATAGTATCCTGCTGGGATAATGGCTTTGGGGCAGCGCAGTCTAACAGCTGGTTAGTTAATAAGCTTTCAGCAGCAAAGTGATTGTAAATAAACAGAATTGGACTCTAGCTTTGAAATAATACTTATCACTAGCTATTGATCTCTGTTAAGTTCTGTGTGAAACTATATGTACACACACATATGCATATCACAGTATGGATGTGTATGAGTGTTAAGTGCTTTAGGTATAAAGTTTGAGTTGTTGAAAAGGTCTTCATTCTGTGTAGTGGGTAATTGTTAGCAAGACACTACTTAAAACACTGCTTAAATTAAGTCTCACTCACATGCGTGTGTGCTGTAGCTAATAGTATCAGTGATCTTTGATCAGTTTGTTAGGGAACAGTGTAGCAAAATGAATACTACCTGGAAATCCAGAGATCTAAATTGGAATGAAGGCTCTGCCACTGTCAAGCTTTATTACTGTGAGAGGTAGCATCTTCCTAAAGATCCCTCCCCATTCCCCTTTGCCAAGTAGATTAACAGTTCCCTTTCTTGGGCCACGACAAAATTTTTGTACTCACGTCTGTTTGCTTCTATTAGAGAAGTAATTTTGGTGTTTTGCAGTGTTGGTACATTTTTCTCTCTCCCTCCTTTACTGGGATAGGAACTCTTTGAAGGCAGTGACCATGTTTTCTGTTTGTTTTCACTGTCTTGCCATATAGAGGGCAGTCAGTGAATATATGCTAAATGAACAGATTTGTATATGAGAGCTAGAATAGAGTATCTTTAACGACTTGATGATTTCTGCTTATAACTTGATATTTAGTAGGGGCAGTTATTTGATACAATTGGTCTGTCATATATTTAGTTGAAAGAATTACTTCTAAACCTGTCATTGGATTATGCTAGGTTACAAATTCCTAACATGACTGTGCTTGCAATGCACATCTGTGTGTTATTCCCTTAGTTTTTGACTTACTGAAAAATGATTCAGTCACATTCTGAATCTCAACAATGGAAGAAAGTGTATTTGTTCATGGCTTTATGAAACAAACGCTACAATTTGAAGGTAATTTTCTTATACCTTTAAAAATATATTTCTGATTATCAATCTTATCAAACCATTGATCATGTTAGTTACTGACATTGCTAAAATGAGCAATGATATCATCATTTTAAATTGTTTGAAACTTCCAACCAAGATGTACATGCACAATCCAATATGTGATGAAATATTTAAAGGCATGAACATTAAAAAATAATTATATTTAATATAGAACTGTAATTTTGAAACTTGAACACGAGGATTACTTTACATCCTCCATGTCTGTGTATATATAAGGATGAATCTTGGTCTGGATGTGAACCTTGGAAGACAGCAATTTGGGGACTGAATTCAATACTTGGATTATTTCATTTTCCCATGTGCTTAATTAATAGGCCATGCATCATACTACTGGTGAGAGAAAATGCACCAGACATGTTTTATTCTGGCATTTGTGTGATTCTTTGTTTAATTACTGTATATTTTTATTTATTGTCTTATTTAAGTTTTAATGTTACTTGTGATTATGAAATATATCCACACAATTAAGAATTCAAAAGTTGCAAAAGCTTCTGTAAAGTTGATTACACACCCTTGGCCTTATTCATTCACCAACTTCCCCTCTTCTCAGGCAACTAATTTTGTTACCAGTATCTTAATATATTTCCAGCAATATTATATCCATAGTAATTGCATCCACACAGAAACATATATTTTCTTTTAAAAAACTTAAAATAGTAACATAATACATGATTTTCTGCATCTGCCTTTTTAAATCTAATGATGTATAATAGAGATTTCTTAGATTTTATAGTTGAAAAAACTAGATTCAGCCAAAACAGGGGCTTAGGCTGTATAAAATATACAACTTTTTGGTGGTCTATTCATATATATTTGTATTTGTAGCTGTTATTCTTACATTTATATTTTATTCACATACATTTATATCTGTATATTTTTTGGTCTATTTAATCATCATGCATTTAGTCATGACATATTCAGTATAATCAACTTTTCCTTTCAAATTGATTGTGGGGAAGGGAAGCAAAGGCCAAGTGTTTGTAGGCATGGTATAAGTTTAAACTTTAGGCTTCCAAACCCAAATTTCTATTAAGAACAGAATGACTATGTTATTCTAGAATCCAGAAACTATAATGTAATGAAGAATCATTGAAAGAAATGAGCATGCAATTATTGTCCTCAAGTAATTTAATGTCTATTAGATAAAAAGGAATTAGACTTATGTGCCTTTGGAAGGCATAGCTAGAACTAAACTGAGGTATAGAATATATAATTTCTTGTTCCCCTGACTTTAAGCATAGTAATTTTCCAAAATGGAATGGGTTGTCTTGTGAAGTACAGAGCAGACATGAGAATAGTCACTTTTCTGAGACATTATTGTACAAGGGATCCCTGTATCATAGAAATGAACTAGATAACCATTTAGGGTTCTCAACCCTCAGACGCCCTACTCCAGACCAGTGCTCCTTATCAGGCCTTGCCAAATCTCTTGGGGCTATTAATGGCTAAAACTTCTCCTTTGTCACGCAATTCCCTATAGGAGGAGCAATACAGAGTGAGCACCCATGTCAATAGCTACTTACACCTGTAGGCTGAGGTGAATGGTTACATACCAACAAATAAGTAGAACAGAAATAAAGTGGATAAAATATTTCAGACCCAAACAACGCTATTTCATGCAGAAGGAAATAGTCCAAGCAGAAACAGTTTTCCCCATTAAGAGCACATAGCTGTGTATGTCAATCTTAATGCATGTATAGTGAGTAGTAGGACAAGAAAGCCTTTGTTGGGGATGACTAGTTTCTTTTCAGCTTTTATTTTAGATACAGGGGGTACATGTGCAGTTTTGTTACCTGGGTATATTGTACCCAGGTAGTGAGCATAGTACCCAAGAGGTAGTTTTTCAATCCACATCCCCTCCCCCACTCTAGTAATCTGCAGTTTGCATTGTTCCCATGTTTATGATGTGCTCAATATTTAGCTCCCACGTACAAGTGACAACACATGGTATTTGGTTTTCTGTTCCAGCATTAATTGGCTTAGGATTATGGCCTCCAGCTCCATCTATGTTGCTGCAAAGGATATGATTTTGTTCTTTCTTATGTCTACATGAAATTCCATGATGTATATCATATGTATATCATATACCACATTTTCTTTATCTAACCCACCATTGATGGGCGCCTGGGTTGATTCCATGTCTTTGCTATTGTGGAGAGTGTGACTATGAACATACAAGTGCATATGTCTTTTTGGTATAATGATCTAATTTTCCTTGGGTTTATGCTCAGTAATGGGATTGCTGGGTCGGATGGTAGCTCTATTTTAAGTTGTTTGAGAAATCTCCAAGCTGCTTCCCACAATGGTTTAACTAATCTACATCCCCACTAACAGTGTGTAAGCATTCCCTTTTCTCCACAGCCATGCCAGCATGTGTTGTTTTTTAACTTTTTAATAATAACAATTCTGACTGGTGTGAGTAGGTATCTCATTGTGGTTTTAGTTTGTACTTGTCTGATGATTGGTGATGATGAGCATTTTTTCATCTGTTTGTGGTTGCTTATATGTTTCTTTTGAGAAGTGTCTGTTGCGTCCTTTGCCCATTTTTTTAAATGGGGCTATTTGGTTTTTGCTTGTTGATTTGTTTAAGTTCCTTATAGATTCTTATTATTAGACCTTTGTTGGATATGTAGTTTGTGAATGTTTTCTCCCATTCTGTAGGTTGTCTCTTTACTCTGTTGATAGTTTCTTTTGGCTGTACAGAAGCTCTTTAGTTCAATTAAGTCCCACTTATCAATTTTTTTTTTTTTGCAATCGCTTTTGGGGACTTAGTCAAAAGTTCTTTGCTAAGTCCTGTGCCGAGAAGGGTATTTCCTAGGTTTCCTTCTAGGGTTTTAATAGTTTGAGGTCTTATATTTAAATCTTTAATAAAATTTGAGTTAATTTTTGTATACAGTGAAATGTATGGGTCCAGTTTCATTCTTCTGCATATTTCTAGCCAGTTATTCCAGCACCATTTATTAAATACAGATTCCTTTCCGTATTGCTTGTTTCAGTTGGCCTTGTTGAAGATCAGATGGTTATAGGTGTGCAGCTTTATTTCTGAGTTCCCTATTCTGTTCCATTGGTCTGTGGGTCTGTTTTTGTACAAGTACCATGCCGTTTGGTTACTGTAGCTTTATAGTATAGTTTGAAGTCAGGTAGTGTGATGCCTTTGGCTTTGTTCTTTTTGCTTAGGATTGCTTTGGCTATTCAGCCTCCTTTTTGTTTCCATTTTGGAATAGTTTTTTCTAATTCTATGAAGAATGACGTTGGTAGTTTAATGGAAATAGCATTGAATCTGTAAATTGCTTTGGGCAGTATGGCTATTTTAACAATATTGATTCTTCCAGTCTATGAGCATGCAATGTTTTTACATTTATCTGTGTTGTCTCTGATTTCTATCAGCAATATTTTGTAGTTCTCCTTGTAGAGATCTTTCACTTCCTTGGTTAGCTGTATTCCTAGGTATTTCATTTTCTTAGTGGCCATTGTTAAGTGGGATTGTGTTCTTGATTTGACTCTTTGCCTGGACATTATTGGTGTATAGAAATGCTACTGATTTTTCTACATTGATTTTGTATCCTGAAACTTTATTAAAGTTGTTTGTCAGTTCTAGGACTCTTTTGATGGAGTATTCAGAGTTTTCCAAGTATAGAATCATGTTGTCAGTGAACAGAGATAGTTTGACGACTTCTTTTCCTACTTGGATGCCTTTTATTTCTTTATCTTGCTTGATTGCTCTGACTAGGACTTCCAGTACTATGTTGAATGGGAGTAGAGAGAGTGGGCATATTTGTCTCGTTCCAGTTCTCAAGGGGAATGATTCCAGCTTTTTCCCATTCAGTATGATGCTGGCTGTGGGTTTGTCATAGTTGGCTCTTATTATTTTGAGGTATGTTCCTTCAATGCCTAGTCTGTGGAGGGTTTTTATAATGAAGGGATGTTGAGTTTTATCAAAAGCTTTTAATATATCTATTGAGATGATCATAGGGTTTCTGCTTTTCTGTTTATGTGGTGAATCACATTTATTGATTTGTGTATGTTGAACCAACCTTGCAAACCAGAAATAAAGCCTACTTGATCCTGGTGAAGTCACATTTTTTTTTTTTGGAAACAGGGTCTTGCTCTGTCGCCCATCCTGGAGTGCAGTGGTGCAATCTTGGCTCACCTCAACCTCTGCCTCCTGGGCTCAAGCAATCCTCCCACCTCAGCCTCCCGAGTAGCTGGGTTAACAGGCACACACCACCACCCCCAGCTAATTTTTTGTATTTTTAGTAGAGACAGGGTTTCATCATGTTGGCCAAGCTTGTCTTGAACACCTGACCTCAAGTGATCTGCCCACCTTGGCCTCCCAAAGTACTGGGATTACAGGTGTGAGCCACCACGCCTGGTTGTGAATTAGCTTTTTGATGTGCTGCTAGATTCAGTTTGCTAGTATTTTGTTGAGGTTTTTCGCATCTATGTTTGTCAGGGATATTGGCTTCAAGTTTTTTTTTTTTTTTCACTGACAGATGAAAAGACAGATTGAAATTTGATGAAATTTCAGATGAAATTTTAGATTTTCAGATGAAAATTGACAGATTTTGGCATGAGGATGATACTGGCTTCATAGAACGAGTTAGGGAGGAGCCTCTCCTATTTGATTTTTTGGAATAGTTTTAGTAGGATTGGTACCAGTTATGTGTATGTCTTGTAGAATTTGGCTGTGAATCCATCTGTTCTAGGGCTTTTGTTGGCTGTTAGGTTTTTATTACTGATTCAGTTTTGGAGTTTGTTATTGTTCTGTTCATGTTTTCACTTTCTCCCTTGTTCAATCTTTGAAGGTTGTATGTTTTCAAGAATTTATCCATTTCCCCTAGATTTCTAATTTGTGTGAGTAGAGATGTTCATAATAGTCTCTGAAGGTCTTTTGTATTTCTGTGGGATCAGTCTTGTCATTTCTGATTGCACTTATTTGGATGTTCTCTGTTTTTTTCTTAGTTTATCTAGCTAACAGTCTTTAAATTTTGTTTATTCTTTTGAATTACAAACTTAGTTTCATTGATCTTTTGTATGGACTTTTGCATCTCAATTTTGTGTAGTTCTTTTCTGATTCTGATTTTAGTTATTTCTTTTTATCTACTAGTATTGGAATTGGTTTTTCCTTTTTTTTTTCCAGTTCCTTTAGATGTGATTTTAGATCATTAATTTGAGATCTTTCTAACTTCTTCTTCTTCTTCTTTTTTTTTTTGAGAGACAGTCTCCCTCTCTTGCCCTGGCTGGAGTGGAGTGGCATGCTCTTGGCTCACTGCAACCTCTGCCTCTCGGATTCAAGTGATTTGCCTTCCTCAGCCTGCCAAGTAGCTGCAATTACAGGCACCTGCCGCCATGCGCAGGTAATTTTTGTATTTCTAGTAGAGATGGGGTTTCACTATGTTGGCCAGGCTGGTCTTGATCTCCTGACCTCAAGTGATCAACCTGCCTCGGCCTCCCAAAGTGCTGGGATTACAGGCCTGAGCCACCATGCCCAGCCTCTTTCTACTTCTTGATGAAGGTGTTTAGCACTAAATTTTCCTCTGAACACTGCTTTAGCTGTACCCCAAAGATAATGGTAAGTTCTGTCTTGGTTTTCATTAATTTTAAATAATGTTTTTTATTTCTGCCTTGATTTCATTGTTCATCCAAGAGTTATTCAGGAGAAGTTTGTTTAACTTTCATGTTTTTGTGTAGTTTTGAGAGATCTTCTTGGTATTGATTTCTATTTTTATTGCACTAATCCGAGAGTGTGCTTGGTACGATTTCAATTTTTTTGGAAGTCAAGACTTGCTTTATGACCAAGCATGTGGTCAATCTTAGAATATGTTCTGTGTGCAGATGAGAAGAATATATATTCTGTGGTTTGGGGGTGGAGTATTCTGTAGATGTCTATTAGGTCCAGTTGTTCAAGTGTCAGGTTTATGACCAGAATTTCTTTGTTAGTTTTCTGCCTCAATGATCTGTCCAGTGCTGTCAAATAGTGTTAAAATCCCCTATTATTATTCTGTGACTGGTCAAGTCTTTTTGTAGGTCAAGAAGATCTTTTTTTTTTATGAATCTTCGTGCTCCAGTGTTTGGTGGATATGTATTTAGGATAGTTAAGTCTTCTTTTTGAATGGAACCCTTTATCATTTTGTAATGCCCTTCTTTGTGCTTCTTGATTGTTATTGATTTAAAGTCTGTTTTATATGACATAAACATAGTGATTCCTGCTCTTTTTTGTTTTCTGTTTGCATGGTAGATCTTTCTCCCTTTACTTTGGGCCTTGTGTTTTTATCTACTTTGCCACCCTGTGCCTTTGAAGTGGGACATTTAAACCATTTACATTCAGGATTAATATTGATATGTAAGGTTATGATTATGTCATCATATTGTTATCTGGTTGTTTTGTAGACTTGGTTGTATAATTGCTTTGTATTTTCTGTGGGCTATGTACTTGAGTGTGTTTTTGTGCTGGCAGGTATCAATCTTTCATTTCTATGTTTAGCACTCCCTTAAGGATCTCTCGTAAGGTTGGTCTGGTGGCAATGAATTCCCTTAATGTTTGCTTTTCTGAGAAGAATTTTATTTCTCCTTTGCTTATGAAGCTTAGTTTGGAGGGATATGAAATTCTTTTGGCTGGAATTTCTTTTCTTTGAGGATGTTTCCTTTCTGGCTTATAAGGCTTCTGCTGAGATGCCTGCTGATGGTTTCCTGAGATTCTTTTTTTGTTTGTTTGTTTTGAGACAGAGTCTTGCTTTGTCACCCATGCTGGGGTATAGTGACATGATCTTGTCTCACTGCAAACTTTGCCTCCTGGGTCCAAGCAATTCTCCTGCCTCAGCCTCCCAAGCAGCTGGGATTACAGGCATGTGCCACCATACCCATCTAATTTTTGTATTTTTAGTAGAGACGGGGTTTTGTCACGTTGCCCAGGCTGGTCTCAAACCCCTGAGCTCAGGCAATCCACCCGCCTCAGCCTCCCAAAGTGCTGGGATTACAGGCGTAAGCCACTGTGCCCGGCCGAGATTCTCTTTATAAGTGACCTGACCTTTCTCTCTAGATGCCTTTAAGGTTTTCCCTTTTGCATTGACCTTGGTGAATCTTATGACTATGTATCTTGGAGATGGTCATCTTGTACAGTAGCTCACAGGGGTTCTCTGTATTTCTTGAATTTGCGTGTCCACCCCTCTAGTGAGACTGAGGAAGTTTTCATGGACTATATCCTTAAATATGTTTGTCAAGTTGTTTACTCCCTCTTCTCTCTCAGAAATGTCAATGAGTCATAGATTTGGTCTCTTTATATAATCTCATATTTATTGGAGGTTTTGTTCATTTTTTGAAATTCCTTTTTCTGTATTTTTGTCTGACTGGGTTGACTTGAAGAGCTTGCTTTTGAGCTCTGAGATTCTTTTGTCAGCTTGGTCTATTCTGTCATTAATGTTTCTGACTATATTATGAAATTTTTATAGTGAATTCTTTAATTCCAGAAGTTCAGTTTGGTTCTTTCTTAAAAATGACTATTTTACCTCTCAGGTCTTGAATCATTTTACTGGATTCCTTGGATTGTTTTTCAACTTTCTCCTGGGTCTCGATTAGCTTCCTTGCCATCCAGATTCTGAATTCTATCTCTGTCATTACAATAATTTTAGTCTGGTTAAGAACTATTGCCTGGGGACTAGTGCATTTGTTTGGAGGTAAGGGGACACTCTGGCTTTTTCAGTTGCCGGAAAAAGCCAGAGTGTCTTGCATTTGTTCTTTCTCATCTGAGAGAGCTGGTGTTCCTTTAACTGTGATGTAAGATAAATATAGTCAGTTGGCTTCATTTCTAGGTACTTTCAGAGTGCAAGGCTCTATATAGGATCTTTATTTGTGGCTGGATTTTTGCCTAGGGTTTCAGAGACACTGTGTACTGGCAAAATATTTTTGGCATTGTAATTTGGACTGTGATCCAGTAGATGGCACTTAATAGTGAAGGCTGGCAGATAGGTTCTTTCTCAGTCATGTGGCTCTTTTGTATTTTAGCACGTTCTCGGTAGTGCTGTATGATGGCGGGGGAGAGAGATGACATCTTTACAGGTTTGCTCCAGAGCCTTGGAGGAGCCTCCTCTGATAACTGGTGCCACACTCACGTTTCTTTCCCTCAGGGAGAGGCCATGGTTGGCAGACAGGCCATACCTTTTCCTGGATGGCCCTGCAGAAGGAGGCATATCTTGTTCCCCCATCGGCCCATGAATTCACGTGTCTCACTCCTCTCAGTGTTCTGGGAGTGGGGGCTCCTCCCCTGCTTGGGTGCCACCCATACCAATAAGTCTTGTCTGGCTAGGAGCAGCAGGGGTGGATGAAATAGCATGGACTGTTGTCCAGGTGTTTCCCAGAAGAACACAGAACTGTGTCACCTGGCAGAGTTCAGGTAGGAGTGGGGCTGCTGTGCTGACACCTAAGCCAGAAAGTTCTGCCTGACTAGCAGTAGTGGGGGTTGGTAGAGTTGTGCAGTCTGCTGTCCAAATGTTTACCCTACTTCCTTGATTTACTCTTTGTTTTATGAAATCATGAATTCTCATCTTTATGACTTTGAAGAGTGGCAACACATGCCATCCAGCAAGCCTTTGGAGGGCAGAATTGATGACTAGGAACATCTGGAAACGTTGTGACCCTATCACAGTGTCTTGGTCAATTAAATTATTTTTTGAATTCATAATAAATCACAAGCCCAATCAAGGCCAATTTCTTCAGTGTCATATATGAATATTTATAATATTCATTATTATTGATAGAAGTACCCCTACTAGTAGTGTTTCCCCTTTTGTGCCTTTCTTTGTTTTGTTTCAGTAGCTTAGATTGTATCTTTTTTTTCTGTTTTTTTTTTTCTCCAAATTCTACAATCCTTCAAAGTTTGGATCAACTATTTTACACCTAATTATTGCCTCTTTCTCTGCCTGATTCAAATACCTTAGTACTTGTTTCTTACAATTTGTACTTAAATATCACTGCAATGATTTATATATGTAATAAAATATATATATTGCATATATATATATAATATGGAACCTGTGTAGTGATTTGCACAAAATGTGAGCAGAAAGTACAGAGTTCCCATATACTGATCCATTATTATTAACTAAAGTTTATGTTAGAGTCCACTCTTTTACATTATAAGTTTGGACAAATGTGTAGTGACATGTATTCATCAGTACACTATTGTACAAGTAGTTTTGTTGCCCTAAAAATTTCTTGTGCCCCACCTATTTATCCCTCCTTCCCCTGAACCCTTGGCAACAACTGATCTTTTTACTGTCTCCATAGTTTTGCCTTGTTCAGAAGGTCATATAGTTGGAATCATACAGTATATATCCTTTTTAGATAGGCTTTTTTTTTTTTTGCTTAGCAATATGCATTTAAAATTCCTACATGTCTTTTGCTGGCTTGATTGTTCATTCCTTTTTATTGTTGAATAAAATTCCATGGCATGGCATGGCACGGCATGGATGTGCCACTGTTTGTGTATTCACCTATTAAAGGATATTTCTGTTATTTCTTAAAGAATAATCTTTTTTTTTTTTATTGCAGGGTTTAAAAATTGCTTTAGTGCAGGGGTAGAAACTAAAACTTATGTAGTTTATTATTTCTAGAAACCAGAGAAATCAGAAAATATGCCTTATAGTTAAGCATTCAGTTAAAATTTCTTTAGCTCTTCTGAGGTCAATGCCTATATTACATCAATATATGACAATATTTACATTTTAAAAATAAATACATTATTATAATAATTAGAAATAGAAGCGTTAAAATTTTTTTTTGTTTTCTGCATAAACAAGATTTCCCAAAGCATGACAGTATAGAGAGAAGTCTTCTTTTTTCCTTAAATGTTTCTTGAATGTTTATCTCTTTGTTATGTTCCCCAAGTTGTTAGAACTTTTAAAATATGCTATGGTTTGAATGTTTTGTCCCACCCAGGATTTCTGTGTTGAAACTGAATCCCCAATATGACAGTATTAAAAGATGAGAGTCTTTGGGAAGTGATTAATTCACAAAGGTGTAGCCTTTATGAATGGATTAATGCCGTTGTAAAAGAGGCTTCAGAGAGCTACCTGACTGCCTTTCCCTTCCATCTTCCCCCATGTGAGAATGCAGTAGCAAAGTGTCATCAATGAGGAATGGTGCCTCACCAGAAACTGATTTTGCGACTGCCTTGATCTTGGACTTCTCAGCCTCTAGAACTATGATAAAATAAAATTCTATTATTATAAATTACCCAGTCTTTAGCATTCTGTTATAAAACCACAAATGAACTG
Organism: Homo sapiens; assembly: GCF_000001405.40. NCBI lineage: Eukaryota > Metazoa > Chordata > Mammalia > Primates > Hominidae > Homo > Homo sapiens. The sequence continues at coordinate 8,464,734 of NC_000006.12, forward strand.
AGATAAATGTATATTTTGTTAAGGCTTGTATTACAGAATCCTAGAATGCAAAAAAAAAAAAAAAAAAAAAAGGGAGGGTCTGAGGGCCATCTGGTCCATTTGGTATCCAATATCTGAATTTCTTCTCTGACATGATATGCAGGTGGTCTTATAATATATGTTTGGACATTTCCAATGATAGGAAAATTACTGTCTTGTAAGTCAACTGGCTTCAGTTTTTTAGATAACTCTAATTGTTAGAAAGGTCTTTCTTTTATTCAACTAAACTGTTTTCCCATAATTTCTAACCATTCATTCTAATTCTACTCCATGAATAATAAAGGATAAATTTAATCTTTTCCCCAATGATAGCCCTTTAAATATTCAAAAGATAGCTAGAATGTCACTTTCCATATTAAACTTCTTAAGCACCTTATCATGTTAGACATTTTCGCCTGAATGATTTTGCTGAATGGTTTTTGTAGCTCTCTAAAAACATTTTGTGGATGCATACTTATATTCTTTTTTCATTCATTCATTCAGTAACTATTTTTTGAGTGCCTGCTACCTGCCAGACACTGTGTTAAGAATTGGGCATATAATGGTAAACTAGACAACAGCTGGCCCTTCCATCATGCAACATGCAGGGGACAAGGATAGAGATTAATGGGGTGGCGAAAGCAAGGTATTCAGGGAAGGTCAGCCAGGAGGGAAACCTCCCAGACAGATGTATGGACATGTGAAAGAACTTGGAGGTAAAAAGGAGTTTAGCAAATTCTAGGAACTGAAAGAAGATGACTGGGACTAGAATGCAGTGAGAAAAGGTGTATGTGGTGGCTTTGAAATAATTACCACTATACATTATATGTATTGAAACATCGCTGTATACCTCATAAGTATGTATGCACAATTATTTTTCAATTAAAAAATAAAAAGAAATTGTAAAAACGTCTGCAAATTCTTTCCTAAGATGGCACCTAATGTCCATCTCTTATATCTGGGCTGGACTCAGTGGTTCTTTCCTAGTGAATAGAATGTGGTAGAAGTGATGCTATGTGATTTCTGAGGTTAGGCCATTAAAAAGAACAGCTTCAGCTTCTACGTGACTCGCTTGCTGTTGGATCTCTCATTCTGGGAAAAGTCGGCTGCTATGTTGTGGGGACTTGCAGCAGCCTGCAGAGAATCCCATGTGCAAGGAGCTTGAGGCCTCTGCCAACAGCAAACATTAATTTGTGAATGTGAATGAACCACTGTGGAAGTGGATCCACCTGCTCCAGTTAAGCCTTCCATTGACTGTAGCCCCAGTCGACATCACATCTACAACTTCATGAGACACCCCCCAAACCAGGACCACCCAGCTAAGCCACTTCTGAATTCCTGACCCAAAGGAACTGGGAGATATTTATTGTCATTTTAAACCACTAAATATTGAGGTAATTTGTTATGCAGATAAATGATACAGAAGAGAAGTGGCACTTAGTTTGCTTCTGGCTTCAAATAACACAAGACCCAACTAAAGTTATGAGGAGTTTATTTTGTCCCATAATAAGAGGTGCACAGGTAGTATACCCGCAGCACTGGTCAAGTCAGTGGCCCAGTCAACACCCAGGTCCTCACCATCTTTCTGCTCTGTTATTCTTGCTATGTCGATGATGTCTCCTCACAGAACCACAAAGCAGCAGCAGCTTCAGCCATCCCCTGGGCCAGACAGGCATTTCCTCCTGTGTCTTTTCATAGATGAAGAAAATCTTCCCCTCATTCCTGGTGGTCAGAGCTGGATAAAATATCCACCCTTCAACCAATATCAGACAAATGACACAGATCAGAATAAACAGAACATGCTGACGAATTGGATGTGAAGCATGAGAAGAAATGGAGAGGACCAAGATGACCTGGATTTCTGGCTTATGCAACTGCATAGAATGTAGTATCTTTTTTTGTTTTGTTTTGGTGGGAAGACCAGAGTTGTGTGGAAAAATTAAGAGTTCTATTCTATTTATTATTATTATTTTCAGACACAGTCTATCTCATTTGAGACAGTGCAGTCTCATTGCACTGCACCAGGCTGGAGTGCAATGGCACAATCTCGGCTCACTGCAACCTCTGCCTCCCGGGTTCAAGCGATTCTCCTGCCTTAGCCTCCCGAGTAGCTGGGATTACAGGCGCCCACCACCATGCCTGGCTAATTTTTGTATTTTTAGTAGAGATGGGGTTTTGCCACGTTGGCCAGGCTGGTCTCGAACTCCTGACCTCAGGTGATCCACCTGCCTTGGCTTCCCAAAGTGCTGGGATTACAGGCATAGGCCACCACCCCCAGTCAAGAGTTCTATTCTATATGTTAAAGCTGAGAGGTCTGTCAGACATCTAAATTGAGATGTCAGGGAGCAGTTGGATATTTACATTTGGAATGAAAAGAGGAGGTAAAGACATAAGCATAATGAGCCAAAAGATGAGTTTTGAATCCATGTAGCGGATTAGTCAACTGTGGGGGTGTGGATGAAAAGTGGCAGAGGAGGCCCAGAGCCAGGCTCTGAAGAACCCCCATACCCTAGCTTGGGGAAAGGAGGAGGTGGCAGCGAAGGGAGACCAGAAAAGTGGTCAGGAGGAAGAAAGGCAGAAAGTAATGTTGCCAGGGAAGCCACAAAGGGAGCAATTTCCAAGAAGGAGGGAGTGGTAATTGTTTCCCATTTGCCAAAAGGTTGAGCAGAATGAAGATGTAAAAGTGACCTTTGGGTTTAGCACAGTAGTTTCTGTGGTGGGGGAAGAGGCAGATTCCTAAGGGGCTTATGAGTGAATAGGACATGAGGAAGTAGAGACAGTGTGTAAATACAACTGCTTGGAGAAGTTGTCCTGGGAAGGAGCAAGGGTTGCTACAGTGGGGTGTTGGATCAAGGAGATGGAAGTAAGAGTAGGAGAGATTAGAGCACATCTTATGCCAGTGGGAACATTCCCATACAGAGAGAATGATTGATAATGCAGGAGGAACGAGGGACAGCGGAAGGAGTAAAATCCCTGCAAACAACATGCACACACGCATCTATGCATAGTCATACCTAACTTTAAGATTAATTAGTAGAATACAAATAGAATATTTGTATGTTGGGTCTGTTAACTATTTTTTTGGCAAGGCAATTTTGCAAAGTGGCCAAGAACCCAGACCCCTAGACAGAGATTTTTAAATCAGCTGTGTGAACTTGGGATATTTGGGTTATTTACTTAACCTCTCTGTGCTCCAGTTTCCGCATCAATAAAATGAAGATAGTAATTACAATACCTGCCTCATAGAGTTGTCAAAGTGACCTAAGTTAATGTACGTAAAGTATTCAGAGCAGCGCTGGTACAGGGAAAATGCTGTATGTCTGAGGCACCTACTTGCTAGTGTTTGCTGGGTTTGATTCTCCTAAGTAACTTAGGCCGAAGTGTTATCTTCAGAAAGAAATTATTGATTTAAATTTTATTGTTATTTCTACATGCTTTTTGGATTATGTGTGGACCTTTATAAAAAGTGCCATATATTGAGATGCAACCTCAAGAGATGAAATGAAATTTACAGTTTCAAAGATAGTTATCTGACCATTAGTAAAAAACATGGGTTAGTATTTGATATTTATTATCTTCTGCCTGTTGGAGCTCTTACATTGAAATAGAAAAATATTAAAAATGTGATATCTAGACATTCATCAGAAAGCATCCGAAGATTATTTGGGTGGAGTAGCCCAGGTGCTAAATTAAACAACATAGTACGAGCTGGATAATGGATATGAACCTTGTACTACATATGCAGCACTTTCTTCCTCTCTCACTGAATGTTAATTTCCACCCAAGACTGTATAGCCATTTTCAGGAGTGTGCAAAGGTAGAACATTTATAGGAATTAATGCTCTGTGGGTATACAATGCGGAGACCCTGAAGAACTAAAAAAGCATGAATAAATGTATTCCAATTATAGGCTAATGCAGGTAATGGGTTTATAGTACTTAGAGGTCTGGATCTGCTCTCTGACAGCCTGCAGACATTAGGGGCCCCTCATGGCTCTGCTGCAATGTAGGCATTATGGAGTGATTTTTACTTTACTGCCTTTTCCATCAGATCATCCCCTTTCTTTCACACACAAGGTTAATTCACTTCTTGATCACATTATTTCCTCGCTGCTCTTTGACAATATAAAAATTCTGAGTGGACAGCTCAATCCCTCTTCCATCTCAGATTTGATTGTTATGGTATTGCCTGGCGTCCCTCAGAGGCCTCCAGCAGCCTTTGCTGCACTTTATGACACTTAAATGGCTCGGCTACAATTTCTCCATCTATTCACGAAATGCTGTTAATAACTCATTTCCAAAGAGGCCCTTCTTTATGTCTTGGCATTAAAGGAATTTTTATTAGGTGCCAGGATAGGTGACACACAGCCCCAGTAACCAAAGAGTTAATTAATCTGTTGAAATTTATTGCCTTTTATACTGCACTCAGTGTGACAGTCCCTAAGAGAAACAGATACTATATTTACAGCCCGAGTTGAAATATTCAGTAATATAGTCTGCATACTGACCTACTCCATCAGTGTATGCCTTCTGCTGGAACATCCATTAATCACAGAAGATGAATTTGTGTAATCTATCTTCTTTCTTATTCTGAGATTCCAATAAATATTGAAATAATAGTTTATTGATTACCTTGCAATATAAATGTGTAGTAAAGGCACCCAAGACATTTGCATGGTAATGCATTTTGAAAGTTTTTGGCATTCTATGGGAATGAAAGGAAAAACTGTGAGGAGTGGCATGGAATACTCTTGTGGGTGAAACTCCAAACTGATTTCTTAACGTGTGGAGAGAAATGAGAAGAGCTTTTGAACTACCAAAAGTCATAATCATAGCCATGATCATTACATTCTTCAAAGCAAACATGAATATTTACTGAGTCTTTGTTCTTTGAGCATTATCCTCATAATATTTTAGACCACAAATAATTTTCTTGTGCCACAATTTCAGTTGTAAAGCCACCTCCCGCCTGCACTTAATCCAGGCAAAGATGAAAAGGGTATAGGCATGTGGATGCTAGCTTCTATGTAATACCAGTGAAACCTTCTGGGACTATTCTATAAACTCTTCAGGCTAAAATATATATTTCCTAAGACCATACTTTGAATAGTGTTTTAGGCTCTTGGCCTAAATCTAAATTCGGTCCTAAATTTTCATGAGTTCTGTTACTTATGGAGGTGTTAGTTTTGTCACTATGCTAGAATCATAATAATTTTTGCATCAAATCTGTCTTGTTTCAGAAACAGAGAAGAGTATGAGAAGTGTTACAGAACATGAAGATACCCTTGTGGCTCAAACATACTTATTTTTAAAAACTCTAAAAGTCTAAATGTGTCTGTATCTGGATATATTTTCAGTCAACTTATGCTGTGTTGGGTAAAGGTAAACCAGCATTTTCTAATCTATATTTGTGCCACTATCACCAGCATTACACGATAAGATTTGTTATAGGTTCAGTTCTTCTAGTTGAATCCAATCATGCACAGTTAATGTAGCCCATTTCTGTTCTCCATAATAATTTATCTTAGTTTTGGGCAACTCTTTATAGTCAGGATAACTCTGCAGAGTGGATGAAATTCTAATGAGTGGAATTTGTTTTCTAGTGCTTTACTGATAAGGTTAACCAGATGGTGAAATGTAATAGCTTGGAAGATGTAGTTTTGATATACAGTACATCATTTCTGGAATGATCATGAAAAAGCAAAATCAACAGAGCTTTTTAGATTCTCTTTTTTGGTCATGAAATTGAAAATATACCTTTTTAGAGAGAAATATCTCATCATAGTTCTCCTGACATTTAAACTGCTTGGCTATATATTTTTAAAAGAAGACAAACTTTTGAAAATGTTGCTATAAATTTTTATGTATTGTAGATTTAAAAAATCTCATTTAAAAAATGAAAGATTATGAAATTTTTTATGTCACCTGAAGGAATGTCTATGATGTGAATTTCAAATAAAATAGATTTTCTTCAATATTTTTAGTAATGATATCAATTAATTCACTAAGAAACTCACATTTCTTCCAAGACATTGAATTTTGATGAAACCACAAATCAGTGATTATCAAAATATTAGAATTAAGCAACCCTGAACATTATTTTGCTATAACATTTGCTAATTTGGCACAGATATTCTTTGAAGATGGACAATATACATTTTTTCATCTGTTTTGATTTTTGCTGATATGGATTATGTTAATTATGGAAATCTACAAGTATCTCACAAATAAATTATGTGGATGCATTTAACTATAGATTTTTCTTTTGTGATTTTTCTATGAGATAGCACATTACTGCATAATTGCTGTACTTTTTTGGTGCTTTTTCCTTTTTCCTTTCAATATTAATCATCGCTGCTTGTTCTCATATAAAGGTACATTCTGATTTAAGTTCTCCCTGGTGTTTGGCTAATTGGGCTATTCGCTTAAAGCATACTCTGTTTTATGTCTTTATCTTCCATGGTATTTTACATTTTGGAATGACTGATTCTAATTCCTCTTCCACAGTGGCATAAGTTCACAGTAGCATAACCTTGGGAATCCATTATATTTGTCCTTTAGAACACTGCTTTGTTTTTCTCCACACAGTAATGAAAAGCGGTGGCATTTTCCAACACCCACAATGACTCTTCTCCTTTTTTTAGTAATGCTACTTTTTCTTTGCTTAGTTCAAATCAACACAAAGTCTTATTTCTTGAGCATCTATTACGTGGCAAATTTTGTGTTAGGTACTGAATATGTGAAGTTGGATAGGCATAATTGCTACTCTCAAGCTGTTCAAAGTCAAAGTCAGTTGCTTGAGACAGAGAAGTAACAAATAATGATTTTTAAAAGCCTTTTTTACCTCTTACCACATTAAGTCCGTAACTTTGGAAACTTACTGTTGAATAAGGTTGGGAGCTAGCCATTTATTGAGTATTTGTCCACGGGCAGGCGCTTCTTTAAATACTAGAAGTAGATTGCTTCACTTAATCCTAACAAGGCCATGAGGCAAGGACTATCATTCTATCACCCCCATTTTACTGCTGAGTGAAGTGAGTCGCAGGGAGGTGAAGGGACTCAGGCCCTTACTCTCGGTACCCGGAGGAGGGATTGAAATGCAACCCCCTGACCCCAAGGATGGGGCATTCATCAGTAACTCTCTGCTCTCTGGGAAGACACATATGTTATTCCAAATAAGAATTAACCATTCTGTTTGTGTATTTATTGTCTGAGTACCATTTATTGAGTCATTTCCCCAGAGATTTGCAATGTCCCTCTATCACATAACAAGTTCCACACATACATGGGACTGTTTTTAGGCTATATTTGTTCTTAGATAATCTGTTTTAGTTTTTTTGTCTATTCCTACCCTATTTCCACAGTTTTCATTGTTAGGATTTTATAGAAGTTTTAGTCTGATTGGGTGACACACACACACACACACACACATACACATAACATATATACATAAACACACATACATACACACACTATTGTTTTCTTATTGAAAATATGTATTCTGTTTTGGGCTTTTAACTTTTGGTTTATTTTTTATTGTGAAATTTATTGTGCATACAAAAGAATACACAAAAGTTTATGTCCAGTGCAAAGAGTAATAATAAAAAGAGCAACCACAAATTGATTACCCGGGTCAAGACATAAAATATAGCCTTGATGTTACTTTTGTAACCGACCCTTCTTGAATTCATTCTCCTCCCAACCTCTCCTTTCCTCCCAATGGTCACAGGAAAATGGTTGTTGTGTTCACTTTTTCCTTGCTTTTCTTTATCTTTATAGTTTTCCTATTATGTGAATAATATATGATTTAGGCTTATCCATTGATGATATTTATTTATTTATTTATTTATTTATTTATTTTGACACGGAGTCTCGCTCTGTCAACCAGGCTGGAGTGCAGTGGCACAATATTGGTTCAAGCGATTCTTGTGCCTCAACCTCCCGAGTAGCTGGGACTACAGACACATGCCCCTGCACCTGGCTAATTTTTTGTATTTTTGGCAGAGATGAGATTTCACCATGTTGGCCAGGCTGGTCTGGAACTCCTGACCTCAAGTGATTCGCCTGCCTCGGCCTCCCAAAATGCTGGGATTACAGGTGTGAACCACCACACCTGGCCTCCATTGATGATATTTACATAACGAAAACAAATTGCACAAATTTTCTCTAACTTATTTTGTTCAATGTTATGTTTTTGATTCATCTATGTTGGTGTAAATATATGTAACTAATTTATTTTCACTGCTGCGTACTATTTCATTGTGTGAATATAATAAATTATTTTTCCATTGTACTGTTGATTGGTATTATAGCCATTTCAGGTTTTACAGTTATGAGCAAGGCTGCTATGACTATGTTTGTATGAATACTCTAGTATGCATGTGCAAGAGTTTCTAAGTATACTCTTAGGGGTTGACTCACTGAATCGTAAGGTAGGCACATTCAAATTTATTAGGTAATGTCAAACTGTTTTCCAAAGATGTTGTACCAATTTATACGACCTCCAGCAGCATATATTATATATCTACACTTTGTTAACACTGTGTTGTCTGATTTTAGTTTTTTCAATTCATTGGTATAAAATAATGTTGCACTGTGATTAATTTTTATTTCTCTGATTACTATTGATATAGTGAGGTTGAGCACTTTTTGGTGTATATACATATGTATGTGTAAAATCACACACACACGTTTTTTGTCTTCTATGAAGAGCTAAGTCATTTTAATTTGGGGTTGTCTTTTTTTCTTGATTCTTAGTTTTTGTTGTTGTTGTTGTTGTTCATTTGTTTGTTTTTTTGAGACAGGGTCTTGCTCCGTTGTCCAGATTGGAGTGCAATGGCATGATCATGGCTCACTGCAGTCTTGACCTCCAAGGCTCAAGTGGTCCTCCTGCCTTAACGTTCTGAGTAGCTGAACCACAGGTGTACGCCACCACACCTGGCTATAAATAACTGCACGAGACTGGGTAACTTAAAAAGGAAAGAGGTTTAATTGACTCATAATTCAGCATGGCTGGGGAGGCCTCAGGAAACTTACAGTCATGGTGGAATGCGAAGGAAAAGAAAGGCGCCTTCTTCACAAGTCAGTAGGAAGAAGTGCCGAGTGAAGGGGGAAGAGCCCCTTATAAACCCGTTAGATCTTGTGAGAACTCAGTCGCTATCACGAGAACAGCATGGGGGAAATTGCCCCCATGATTCAATTACCACCACCTGGTCTCTCTCTTCACATGTAGGGATTATGGGGCTTATGGGGATTACAATTCAAGATAAGATTTGGGTGGGGACACAAAGCTTAGCCATATCACCTGGCTAATTAAACAAATATTTGTAGAGATGGTATTTTGCCATAATGGCCAGGCTGGTCTCAAACTCCTGGCCTCAAGTAATCCTTCCATCTTGGCCTCCCAAAGTGGTGGGATTACAGGCATGAGCCACCACGCCTGGCCCACAGGATTCTTTATATATTCTCTATATAAGATTTTTTCAATAATGTGTCACAAATATCTTCTTTTAGCTTGGAGTTTATGTTTTTACTCTATGGTAACTTTTAATGACCGGACATCTTTCTTTTTAATGTAGCTGAATTTATCAATATTTTCTTTATAGATTCATGTTGTGTCTTGCTTAAGAAATACTTTCTACCTTAGGTCATAAGGATGCTTTCTTATATTATCTTTTAAAGACTTTATGTTTTTGCCTTTCATATTGATTGTCAATCAACCAGTAACTATTTGTTTCTTTTTGATATATGCATGGTGTGATGTAGGAATCAGATAACAGTTTTTGACAAGGGTAATTAAAATGCCTAGTAGCTTTGGAATACCTCATCTTTTTCCCAGTGATCTGAAGTTTCCTATGTATTATATGTCATTACAAACCATTTTTGCATGCATTTGTTTCTGGGCTTTCTATTCCATTCATGGGTCTATTTATCTGTGCATATATATAGACTACAGTTCTTAGTTATATAGCTTTATAGTAAATCTTAAAATCCATTTGCTTAACATTCCTCTCCAACTTGGTGGCTATTTGGGGGCTTTTGTTCTTACAAATAAATTATAAAATCAACTTTAATTTCAAAAATAATAATAACAATGGCACATCCTGTTGGGATTCAATTTGAATTCTCTACAGATTAATTTTGGGAGAATATACATATTCATGATAGGGTCTACTCAACAACAGGGGATATCTGTCTATTTGCTTAGGAATCTTTAATGTCTCTCAATAAAACCTTATAATTTAATCCATAAAGGCATGCCTGTATTTTGTTGAATTTATTTCTTGATACATGTTATTTTAATTTCTATTGTACACATTAAAAAGTTATGTTTTTGATTGTTGCTGGTGTAAACATTTGCATTTGAATTTTTTGCACTGATTTTTTGTCCCCAAATTGTTTGTGCCATCACCAATATAAAACTTATTTGTAGATGTCTTTGGATTTTCTTGAAGAAAATAAAACAGTCATGAGTAATTATAAGTTTTTTTTCTGTTTTTCCAATTCCTTTCATCTTTTGCTCTTTTCTTTTTATCTTACTGCACTGGCTAGGACAGCCATGAAAGTGTGAAAATCAATGGTAATGGCAGGTATCTTTAGATTACTTTTAACATTTTATTATTAAATATAATGCTTACTCTCTGATTTTTAAAATATACCTTTATCAGGTTTAGAAAGTTCTATTCTGTCCCTCATTGACTAAGTTTTCTCTTTCTTTTTTATTTACTTTAGTAGTCACAAGTGGATGTTGAATTTTATTACTTTTTCTGCATACACAAAGATTTATCTCCTTTAATTTATTAATATGAATGATTTATAATAATCAATTTTCTGATATGAAACTTGCTTTGTAGTCCTAGGATAAACTCTGTTAGATATATGAATTGCAAATATTTTCTCCCGTTCTGTGGCTTTTTTCATTTCTTGATCTCGTCTTTAAAATTTAAAAGCAGTTTTAAATTTTGATAAAGTTCAATGTGTTAATTTTAATTTTTATTTTTTTGAGACAGAGTCTCTATGTTCCCCTAGTCTGGAGTTCAGTGGCAAAATCTTGGCTCACTGCAACCTCTGCCTCCTGGTTTGAAGCGATTCTCATGCCTCAGCCTCCTGAGTAGTAGGAACTACAGGCATCACCATGCTAATTTTTGTTATTTTTTGGTAAAGATGGGGTTTTGCCATGTTGGCCAGACTGGTCTTGAACTCCTAGCCTCAAGGGATCTACCTGCCTTGGCCTCCCATAATGCTGGGATTACAGGCATGAGCCACCACACCTGGCCTCAATGTGTTATTTTTTAAATGGTTAATACTTTCTATATCTCTCACCCTAAGAAAAAAATGTGCTTAACCTAAGTTCACAAAATTTTTCTCCCATATGCATTCTTCTAGACTTTTGATAGTTTTAGCTTATATATTAGATTATATGAGTTCATTTTTGTGAGGTAAGGGTCCTTCCTTCCTTCTGCATATGGTTATCCAATAATTCTAGTATTTGATGTTGAAGAAACTTTTCTTTCCCCATTTAATTGCCTTGAAACCTTTATTGAAAATCAGTTGACCATACATATTTAAGATTATTTTCTCAAACTTTGTTAAAGATTTTTGCATATACATTTATGAGGGGTGGTGATTTGCACTGTTCTACTAATGTTGTTACCTGGAGTTAGTCAAACTTTGAGGTTTGAGGGCATATGCCTCCTGACCCCAAAGTCTTCCCAAGATTTCTAACACCAACAGCAAGTTCAAGGGTTTCCCCAAATCACTTTCAGATTTGACAATCACTAGGACTCACAGAACTCACTGAAAGTGATTGTACTCACAGTTGCAGTTTATTACAGGGAAAGGATACATTAAAATCATCCAACGGAAGAGACATGCAGGGCACAGTCTGGGAGAATTCCAAACATGGAAGCTTCTATTGTCCTCAGGATGCCTAATCTTCCCAGATCAATGTGTTACAATACACGTGAAGTATTGACAACCAGGAAAATTCACCTGAGTTTCTATGTCCAGAATTCATTATGTAGGCATGATTGATTGATTTAGCCCCACTGTCCTTAGAGACTGGGCTGATATGCAGTCTGATGGATCCACTATGAGTCATCTTATTAACATAAGCTATTAGGTGTGGTCTGAGGGGCCAATCATGGAAAACAAAGACAATTTTATCACTTGGTAAATTCTAAGGGTTTAGAGGTTACTCCTAGGAGCTGTGGACAAAGCTAGACCTCTCTTAGGGCAAGACAAAATTCTTTACCACATAGTCATCTTATAGTTTTGATATTAATTATGGTCTCATAAAATGATTTTGAGGGTGTAGTATTTGTGCTATTACTTTCTTATATTTGTGGGATTCACTACTAAGCCAGCTGATCCTGGAATTTTTTTGAGGTAAAGATTTTTTTCTACAAAGTAAATTTCTTTCATAGATATAGGGAGATTCGTTCTTGAGGAAGCTTTGATAGTTTGTGTTTTTGAGGAAATTTTTATTGTATCTAAGTTGTGGAATTTTCAGAACACACATTTATAATATTTATTACTTGTTTGAATGTCTGTAGGATCTGTGGTGATGCTCTCTTTTGCCTTCAGCTTTTGGTTTTACTGTTTCTTTGTTTCTGTTTGCTTTTGGTTTAATTTGTTCTTTTTAATCTTTTCTAGTTTCCTAAGGTGGAAGCTTAGATCATTGATTTGAGACTTTTCTCCTTTTATAAGTAATTAATACTTTGAACATCTCTGCAATCACTATTTTGTTTCAGACAAATTATGATGTTCTGCGTTGTCTTTTTAATTCAGTTTAAAATATGTTATAAGTTTGGGTGTGGTGGTTTATGCCATAATCTAAGCATTTTGGGAGGCTGAAGTGGGTGTATCCCTTGAGCCCAAGAGTTCCAGACCAGCCTGGGTAATATGACAAAAACCCATCTCTACAAAAAAATACAAAAATTAGCTGGGTGTGATGTGATGGTGCACACCTGTGGTCTCAGCTACTGGGGAGGCTGAGGTGGGAGGATCACTTGAGCCTGGGAGGTCGAGGCTGCAGTGAGCCGAGATTGTGCCACAGCACCCCAGCCTGGGAGACAGAGTGAGACCCTGTCTCAAAAAAAAATTTCCCTTGTGATGTCTTCTTTGGTTCATTAGTTATTTATAAGTACGTGGTTTATTTTCCAAATATGCTAGATACCTTTTGTGCATTGGTTTGTATTTTAATTCTGTTTTGACCAGAGAACATATTTTTCTGTGATTTTAATCATTTTACAGTATTTGTGACTTGTTTTATGACCTAGAATATGGTGTATCTTGATGAATTTTTTATTTATGCTTAGAAAGAATGTGTATTCAGCTTTAGGGTGGAATATCCTATTAATATTAATTAAGTCAAATTTATTGACAGTATTGATTAACTTTTTAATATCTTTACTGATTTTCTTTCTGCTTGTTTATCAATTATTAAGAAAAGAGTGTCAAAATCTCCAACTGTAGTTGTGGGTTTTTCTATTTCTCTTTTCAGGTCTATCAATTTTGCTTCATGTATTATGAAGCTGTTTTTTTAGGTGCATACAAATTTAAGATTGTTCTGGTCTCTTTACTAATTGACCTCTTTACTATTAAAAAAACAAACAAACAACCCTATTTTTCCCTGGAATTAATCTTTGTTCCAAAATTTTCTTTGTCTGTTATTGATATCAAGTATTATTTATATAATGTTTTATGGTATGTAATATTTCCCCTCCTTTTGTTTTATTTATTTTATGTTTTATTTATTTGTATTCTTTATATTTAAAATGGCTTTCTTGTAGACATTGCACAATTGGGTCTTGTTTTTTAAAATCTAACCTAATAATCTCTCCCTCTTATTTGGAATGTTCAGACCATTTTTATTTATTGCATCATTTTTGTTGGATTTGTTTTCTGTTTAATACATCTATTATTATTCTGCTCCTTTGTTCTCTTTTTCTGTCTTCTTTCGAGTTAACAGATTTTTTATATTACATTTATTTAATATTAGCTTATTAAATATATATTTTTCTTTTTTTTGTGGTTGCTTTTGAGTTTACAGTATACATTTTTAACTTACCCCCTTCTACCCATATCACTTTACACATATTCTAAGAATCTTAAAACACTACTTCATTTGTACTTTCTAGTCTTTGGACTATTCTTACTATTTATATTATTTCTACATACAAATTTCATAATTCATTTTTATTTTTCTTTAAAATAGGAATTATATTAACATGAATCAATATTAATTATATTAACATAAAACATGAATTATATATACTTATTTGTTTATTTTTAATTTTTGTGGGTACATAATTGGCACATATGGTCATGGGGTACATGACATATTTTGATACAGGCATACAATGCATAATAATCACATCAGGGTAAAGAGGGTATTCACTACCTCAAGCATTTATCCTTTCTTTGTGTTACAAATAATCCAATTGTACTCTTTTAGTTATTTAAAAATGTACAATAAGTTATTGTTGACTGTAGTCACCCTGTTGTGCTATCAAATACTAGATCTTATTCATTCTCACTATTGTTTTAAACTCATTAGCCATAGTCATTCTCTCAACCATGAATTATTATTTAAAGAGATTTAAAAAAATGAGTAAATGGGCTGGGTGCCATGGCTTATTCCTCTAATCCCAGCACTTTGGGAGGCCGAGGCAGGTGGATCACCTGAGGTCAGGAGTTTGAGACGAGCCTGGCCAAAATGGCAAAACCCTGTTGCTACTAAAAATACAAAAAATAGCCAGGCTTGGTAGCATGTTCATGTAACCCCAGCTACTCAGGAGGCTGAGGCAGGAGAATCGCATGAACCCGGGAGGTGGAGGTTGCGGTGAGCCCAGATGGCGCCATTGCACTCCAGCCTGGGCGACAAGAGCGAAACTCCATCTAAAAATAAAAAAAAAAGAGTAAATGTATTTTATATTCATTTATCACATATTTGTCATTTCCATTGTTCTTCATTCCTCTATTTAGATCCAAATTTCCAGGTGGCAGCAGCTGCTGCTGCTGCTTCTCCTTCTCCTTCTTTTTCTTTTTTTGCTTGAAGAAATTTCCTTAACATTTTTGTAGTGCAGTACTGCTAGTGATGATTTCACTCTGTTGCTGTTACTCTGAAAAGTTATTTATTTCACCTTTATTTTTGAAAAGTATTTTCTTTGTGTTTATAATTCTAGGCTGGCAGTTTTTCTAGTATTTTAAAGATATCTCTCCATTGCTTTCCAACTTGCATAGTTTCTGATGAGAGGTCTATTTACGTTCTTCTAATTGTTCCTCTCTATGTAGTGCACCTTTTTTCTCTGCCTGCTTTTAAGATTTTTTTATTACTTGTTTTCAAAATTTGATTATTTTGGTGTGATGTTTCTTACATTTCTTTTGCTTAGACATCACTGAACTTCTTAGATATGTTGGTTTACAATTTTAATCACATTCAAATATTTTTTATTTATTAATATTATTTCTTGAGAAATATTATCTGCCTCCCTGTCTTTTCTTGGTTTTTGTTTTAACATATGTAACACAGCTCAATATTGTTTCACAGGTCATTGATGCTCTGTTAATTTTTTTCATTCTTTTTTCTCTGTGTGTTTTACTTTTGATAGTTTCTACTGCTATGTGTTCAAGTTCACTAATATTTTCTTCTCCAGTGTCTAATGTGCTGTTAATCCCATTGAGTATATTTTCCATTTTAGATATTGTATTCCTTTTCTCTAGAAGTTCCATCTGGGTCTTTAAAAATATCTTTTAACTCTCTCTTCATCCTATTGTGTACTTTCTTGCACATATGAAGTATATATATAATATTTATTTTATTATTATTATAGTTTAAGTTTTAGGGTATATGAAGTATATTTATGATACCTGTTTTAAAATATTCTTTTACTAATTCTATCATCTGTGTCATTTCTGGGTCTGTTTCTATTGGTTAAATTTTTATTTGTATATGAGTGATATTTTTGTTCTTCTTTACATACATGATAATTTATTAATAAAAGTTCAAACAAATTTATTTTAATATGATTTAATTTTTAAAACATCATGAAATTATGAAAGGGCAAGGAATATCAGTAGAATGTCCCAACTTTGCAAATGTGGAAATCATTGTTGTATATCAAATTGATGTTAACATTTTTAGGTAGAAAATGAACATAAATGTTTTTGCTCAAATAATTCCCTTTCCCATGTAGCCTTCACTAATGCCATGAGGGAAGAGGGGCTTATTACTGCTGGGCAGTGATGGTATTCCTGAGTCCTGACTCAGAAACGAGGACCAGCTTGGCCTCATTACAGTCAAGTGAAGGTAGAAGTCTAAGCTCCCTACTCAGCATTTTCTGAGGGAGGGCGTGGGGCTGATGTCTTTTTTCATAGTGTTTGACTGGAATACGGTGGTAGTTGTCTAGAAGTTTCCTGCCTTGCTTGACTGCCGCTCTCCAGGTCCTTTGGCTAGAGAAAATGAGCAGGCTTTTCTTGGGGCTTTTGTTTGTCTGCATCTGTTGGTATTTTTGGTTTGCTGGCTTCTCCAGCACCTAAACTGGTATATATTAAGCAAAAAGAAAATCCACATAATTAACCAACTGTTGTGTTGTTTTTTGGATCCCAAGAAAGTCTACCTTCTTCTTTCCACATTTCAGTCTTCTTATGCTTGATTTACAAATAATGCCCAGGGTTTCAAGCTGTATCCCGTTGGAATAATAGGAAGAAGTGTGTTTATACGATCTTTTCCTGGAAAGAGAGAGCATGCCTGGTAATTTTTGAATGGATACTAGACAATAAGAATTTAGTGTTCTTTACTGTTGATTTTTTATATTCCATCAACTATTACTGGGATTGATTCTGGGATGAAATTAAGTAACTTTGAACTAGTTTTATTCTTTGTGGTCTAGCTTTTAAGCTTTGTTAGGACTGTGCCAGAGAAGTCTTTGGTCTAGAGTGAATTTGACTTCACTCCTAATGCAACACCTTCTTTAGTAATTAACCTAAAGCCCTGTATACTAGGACATCTTCCCAGATTAGCTTCTGGGAAAATGAATTATTCCCAGACTTTTTTGAGCTTCATAGGGTTATTCCTCCTACTCCTTACAGGTAGCTCTTTCTTTGGCCTTGTGTATATCCTCCTATCAGTTCTTAGCCACAGTCTTTAGGGATTCTTCTTAAGATCTCTGGAGGGAGCTCTTTCCTCGTCTAGTTCCCTCTCATGTTTTACCTACCCTCTCAACCCCAAATTTCAGCACTTCTGGTCTCCCATCTGTCTCCTAGGTTTTGGGGTCCTGCTTGGGTTTCTCTTTCTTGTGCTGCAACTTGGAAATTCTCTTCAGGCAGTAACCTGGGACAATTGTAGCACTGACCTCCCGTGTTTCCCTGCCATTCAGTGTTAAAAATTGTTGCATCAAACATTTTGTCTGGTTTTCTAGTTATTTAAGGCAGAAGGTAAATGCTCTCATTCTTAATCCATCCTGGTTGGAAGTAGAAGTCCTTCTTTGCTTCTTGCATTGTCACTTTTCCCCTTTTGGTTTCAATTTCCTCCAATTAACTTCTCATTTCAATTACCTTTCAATTACTTGTAGTAGGTTTACTGTTTATCGATCTATCTATCTATCTATCTATCTATCTATCTATCTATCTATCTTTCCTCTAATGTTTTGCTTGTGTTTTGCCAGAGTGAACTGTTCTGTTTTCAGTTGTCTGATAATATCTTTATTAGGTTACCACTTGAGTGATATTTTAGGTGAGTATACATTCTAGGGTTTCAGTTATTTTATTTCATCACTTGAAATCATTTCATTCCCTGGCATTATAAGCAGACATCTGCTTATATGATGTCTGCTGTCAGTCTAACTAGTTTTTTTCTTGGTGTAAGTTATTTATTTTGTTCAGTTGCTTGTAATAATTGTTTTCTTAATTTTAATGTTTTATAGTTTTACTATCACAAATCTAGGTGTGGACTTTATTATATTTATTTTGTTCAAGACTGAATTATTTTTTAAATCTAGATCTAGGAGACTTTTGTTTTTCATTAGTATTGTAGAATACTTAATCATGTTTAAAAATATGGTGTCCTCTTATTTTATCCTTTCTTTCTTCTAGTGGTCCCATTGAATATATGCTGAATTTTCTCATTCTATCTTCCATGCTTCTAAACATTTTTTTCTTCACATTTTTCTACTTCCTTTAAAAAATCTGTATTACATTTTGTGGTTATCATTTCAAGCCTATTTTTCAGTTCATCTGAAAAATGTATCTTCAGCTGTTTCTAATATGCTGGTTAAAACTCAGAAACTGAGTTTTAATTTTAGTAACTGTGTTTTTCATTTGTAAAAGTTCTGCTTGTTTCTTTTCTCAAATTACCTTTTTTTTTTTCCTAATTCTTGGTTCTTTTATCATGGTTCTATTGCTTCTTTATATCCTTACTCATTTAAAAATATATTTATCTTATGGCCATTTTCACATCCTATGAAATGTATCTTCTTTATGCATTATTGTTCTTTCAATTACTTGTTATCTTTTATTATGAGATCATCTTCAGTAGGATTTGTTTGTTATGTGGAGTCTACTGTACCTGGGGTTGTTTGTGTGTTCCTTCAGAATAGATTTTTTGCATAAGTTTCAGAGCATGCAGTTTAGTGGGACTTTCAGTTATTAATTTATTCAGTTTAAATTTATTGTCTACTTCACCTGTAACTTCTTGTTGGTCTCTTGTCCCTCTGTATTTTATTCTGAATGATCCTTCTTCCCCAGTTTTGTAATTTATTGTAGGTTGAGAAATCAGATAATCAAGCCTATGAGAAGTCTATTTAAAAGGCAATTTCTTTTGGGAAATACTTCAACTAGCTATAGGGCATTCTTTATCTATTTACAGGCCAATATGTTCCAAACAGTTAAAATTGCCTGAAATCTGAATTTTAGTTCACTGATATGTTAATTATTTTAAAATAGTAGACTTTTTATATTACACGAGACTAGACAGATAATGTAATTATCTTTGTTTTTAATTTAGTAGATGTGAAAACTGAGATCCAACATAATTGGTTTTAGGTCACATAGTGTCAAAGCTGATCTGTGTCCTAAAGTTGCAGTTCAGGTTATCACTGGTTTCAGTCATTATTCATTGACAGTCTTAGAATGTCACACCAGCATGGTTAACCTCTTCCTGACTCACCTATCTTTGTAGATAATTTCTTTGATGATAAAATAACTGTAAAATGTCACTTGCAAATATTTTCCCAGAATTTTAAAGGAGAATCAGCTTTTTTTTCCTGGTCCAATAGAGAGAATATACAAAGTAAAAATCAAGATAATTACTGTTTACTTCAGCATGTTCTGTCTAAAATTTAGGCCATGCTTTTGTTGGGGCTAATATTACTCCAAATAAATAATCATGACGTTATTAGTCTGAACAATTTTGGAGATGGTTTTTATTTTCAAAAATAATGTTACTGAAATACTTACTTTCTCTCCTTCTAACCTGCCAAATTTCTGCCCTTCTTCCATTACTAGGTGAAAATGTTGCTTTTTCTGTAGTGTCTTCTCCAACCCTGAAGGCAGAGTCCATACAATGTTCCTTTCATTGTATTATAAAATGAAGGGTACTGTTGTCCCTAACAAAGTGGATGGAATGAATTAAGACACCCTAAAGCATTTGTGCAATAACAAGTGGATGACTGATGAAGAATATAAGATGAAAGAGCCAAAAATTTTTGTGTGAAAACATGTTGGGAAAATTTTGTTACCATATTATTTTTTGTACATTACAAAATCAAAAAAGGAAAAACTATGATAGCAAAGATGCTGAAATTTTAACTTTAATATAACCTATGATTACAAATCTATTATCAAAAACTAAAGTGAAAAAATGTAAAAAATGACAATATTAATGCCTGAATACAGGAAATAGACACATATTCTGAAAGCTTGACATTTGCAGATTAGCAGATAAAACATGTTAAGTGTTTAAAAAGTTAAATAAAAATACAATCTAAATTAGGTTATGGATATGATAAAGCAAGTAGAATATGGATTATTGTTAGTTTATGTGTATCTTAGTCCATTCATAATTGACCTTGTATTATTTGTACTCTCCGGGCTTTGATCATCACAAAAGGAAATATTTCAAATATTTGTTTTCCAAGTTGTGATTCTACTCTGTGAACTACTACCCATTAAAACAAATCCTATAGGCTTTCAGGTGGAGAAAAAGAAAATAAAAGTGCTCTATACTAGACTGTATCTAAGTGCTTTGCAAATTTAAATACAGGTTTGCTTTTAGATCTCAGCCACAATGCTATACAGAATCTTGGTATACTTAAAAACAAGCTCAAAAAAAAAAATACCCAAAACAAAACACAAACCCCTCAACAAAATACTAGCCACCAGCACCTAACAGCCTATACGAAGAAATATATACCATGACCATGTGAGATTTATCCCAGGAATGCAAAGTTGGCACAACCCATGAATATCAATCAATGTAATACACCATATTCATAGAATAAAGGAGAAAAAACCCACATGATTATCTCAATAAATGCAGAAAAAGCATTTGCCAAAATCTGACACCCTTTTATGGTTAAAAAAAGAGAAAAACAAGGCAACATACTAGGAATGGAAAGTTCTATAATCTGATAAAGGGCACCTACAAAAAACCCACAGCTAGTAATATGCTCAATGGTAAAAGACTGAAAATCTTCCCCCTTAGATGAGGAACAAGACAAGGATGTTCACTTTCACTGCTTTTGCTAAACATTGTACTAGAAGTTCTAGCTAGGGAAATATTGGCAAGAAAAGGAAATAAAAGGTGTGCAGATTGGAAAGAAGTAAAATTATTTTTATTCCAGATGACATGATAGAAAACACAGAGGAAGCCATTTCTTATATATAGAAAACCATTAAAAATTTCATGGAAAGCTATTAGGTTTAATAAATGAAGGTAGCAAATTGCAGGATACAAGACCAATTTACAAAAGCACTTGTAATTAAGTTCACTAGCAATAAACAACCCACAAATAAAATTAAGAAAACAAAATCATTTGCAATAGCATCAAAAAAAAAAGCCTAGGATACGTAGGAATAAATCAAGATTTGTATACTGAAAAGTACAAAAAGTCATTGTTGAAAGACATTAAATAAATGTCTTTTATTTAAAAAGTGAATGGAAACACATTCTATGTTTGTGAATGAAAAGACTTTGTATTGTTAAGATGGTAAAAGACTCCAAGTTGATCTGTAAATTCGATGCAGTATTTATTAAAATGTCAATTGCCTTTTTTAACAGAAATGGGAAAACTGATCCAAAACTTCATATGAGATAGTAAACATACCTGAATAGTCAAAATGATCTTGAAAAAAAGAACAAAGTTGTAGGACTCACATTTACTGATTTCAAACCTGTTAAAAAGTGAGATTAATCAAGCCAGTGTGGTACTGACAGAAATAATAGACATATATCGTTCAATGGAATGGAATTGAGAGTACAGAAATAAACCCTAACATATATGGTCAGTTGGTCCATTGATTTTCAATGATGGTGCCAAGATCATTCAAGGGGGGAAAGAATAGTCTTTTTTAAAATGGTGCCATGACAACTTGATATCCACATGCTAAAGAATGAATTTGGATGACTGTCTTACACTATATATAAAAATTAATCCAGCATGGAAGAAAACAGGTGTATATTTTCTCTACCTTCAATTAGGCAACAGTTTCTTAGATATGACACCAAAAGCATAAGCAATCAAAGAAAAAAATATATCAATTGAACTTTATCAACATTAAAAAGCTTTGCACATCAAAGGGCACTGCCAAGAAAGCAAAAAGACAGTTTGCAGAATGGGAGACAATATTTGCAAATCATGTATTTAATAAGGGTCTAGTTTATAAAGCATATAAAAAACCCATAACGGTAATAAAAAGGGAAATAATCTAATTGAACAATGCAAAAGTTTTGAGTAGACATTTCTTCAAAGATGATATGCAGATGGCCAATAAGTACATAAAATGGTGCTCAACTGCATTTTGGGGTGCAAGTCAATACCACAATGAGATACCACTTCATACCCATGCACTAGTATGGCTATAATAATAAATTAAAAGTCGCAGAAATTAACAAGTATTAGCAAGGATGTGGAGCTACTAGAACCATCATATGTTGCTGTTGCTAATGTAAAATGGCATAGCTACTTTGGAAAACAGCCTGGCAGTCCCTTAAAATTTAAACATGCAATTATCATATGACCCAGCAATTCCATTCTTATTATATACCCAAGAGAAATGAAAACATATATTTATATCAAAACTTGTACATGGATATTTATAGCAGCATTATTCATAATAGCCAAAGTGGAAACCACACAAATATACAACAACTGATGAATGGATGAACAAAATGAGATATAGTTATACAATGGAATATTACTTACCCATGAAAAGAAATGAAGTACTGTTATATGCTACAATGTGCAAGAATATTGAAAACATTATGCCTGGTGAAATAAGCCAGACACAAAGGCCACGTATCGTATGATTTCATTTGTATACAATGTTTAGCAAAAGCAAGTGCATAGAGACAGAAGGTATATTAATGATTTCCAGGGGATGAGGAAAAGGGGGAGTAGGGAGTGGGGTTTCTTTTTGAAGGTGATGAAAGGATTTGGCATTAGATAGTGGTTATTGTTGCACATTCTTTTGAATATACTAAAGACCACTGAGATGTAGACTTTCAATGGTGAACTGTGTGTATATAAATTACATCTCAAAAAATGAATAACCTAGGAAAATTAGCTCAGACCAATTTGACTCAAATTTCTCTCCTATTGTATTAAAAGTATTAATGTTGAGGTGAAAAAGTTGTCAACTTAGCATGTTTTATAGAGGTCCACTCTATTTCAAGTGTAATGGTAATTTACAGCTTTGCAGATCCATTCTTGCCAGTCGAAGATGATAAAAATTCAGAGGTCAGTAACATGACTATAATATGGAAACACAGTCTGTGGGCAGTGGAGCCAGTTAAAAACACAGTCTGTGGGCAGTGGATCCAGTTAAAATAGTGTAAGATTGTAAATTTAAAAAGGCACATGTAAAAATTTATTATTAAAAGATAGATATAAACATTAAAAATTGTATAGTGAAAATCTGGGCCTAAAGTCTGAGATAAAATTCACAAAGAGTGAAGCAGGTGGAGGAGGTTTTTCAAATAGAAGAAGAAATCAAGCAAATTTATTTTTCACTTGTTATCCTAACCATTATGTAAATATAGGTTAAAATGTTTAGAAAAATCTTAAGGATAATCACTGAGTTGAAAATAAGAAAAAAAAACCTTTCAAAAGAAAAATCAGACAAAGCAGCAGACAAATACTGCCACGTATAAAGCAAATAGCAAATAGCAATGAAACATCAAAACAGAAAACAGAACATGAAGACAAAATAAGACCAAATATAAACTTTGTAACTATAAATATGAATGCCTTAAAAATACAAAGGCGCAAATTGAATCAGGCAAATGAAAAGAAACAAAACAAAAAAGAAATCAGTGCTTGAAACGTTAAAATCAGACCAAGACCATAATAATTAGGTGGAATAAAGAGAAGGTCTTTATACTGCAAAAGACCTTTATATTAATGTCTTAATATAAATACCTTGATGTAATTATTTATAATTAAGAATAACTTAATATAAAGAAAACATCTTTATATTGCTGATTCCCAATGATGATAAAAGTAACAATTGTTACGTGCCAAATAACATATCATCAAAATATGTAAAGTAAAATCATTAAACTGCAAGGAAGAAATAATGGAAACATAGTCAGAGATTTTAACCTTTCCTACTCTATGAGATCAAGTAAGCATACAGAAAATCTCAGGAATGTAACTGATGAGTTAATTTAACAGATACATATGAAACGTTGTGGCTAACAAAAGCAAATATACCTCTTCCTATGCCAATGGAATATTCATGAAAATTGATAATTCAATAAGTTCCCCAAAGAATAATCGTTTTATTATAATAGAGTTAAAATGAAAATTAGTAAGAAAGATTTAACTCCCTCAAAATCACAACTTAATCATTTAAAATTAGCTTTACTTTAATTCTTAGTTCTTTAGTTAATTCTTTAGTTCACTTGACAAAAAATATTCCAAGAATGATTTTCTTAAAATATCCAGTTAACAGAGAAGCTCCGGGCCGAGCACAGTGGCTCATGCCTGTAATCACAGCACTTTGGGAGGCTGAGGCGGGTGGATAACCTGAGGTCTGGAGTGAGGTCCAGAGTTCAAGACCAGCCTGACCAACATAGAGAAACCCTGTCTCTATTAAAAATACAAAAATTAGCTGGGCGTGGTGGCAGGCACCTGTAATCTCAGCTACTCAGGAGGCTGAGGCAGGAGAATCGCTTGAACCCGGGAGGCGGAGATTGCAGTGATTGGGGATTGCCCCACTGCACTCCAGCCTGGGCGACAGAGTAAGACTCTGTCTCAAAAAAAAAAAAAAAAGAAAAAAAAAAGAAAAAGAAAAAAAAGAGAGGCTTCTACCCAAGACTAACAGGAAAATTAGGAAGCATAAATCTATGATTTTAGTATAGGTATGATAATAGCATTATAATTAAGAATAACATCACCAACTTCACCCACTTACTGACCACTGATTAGGATAAATAGTAGCACCTGCTTTGTAGGAGAGTGTGAAGATTTTATGTGATAAATTTCTAAAATGCTTACAGAAATATGTATCATAAAGTAAGCCCTCAATAAAAGTCAGTTTTGAACTACAGGTATAAAGTGTATTTTTAGGTATTTTATTCTCTTTGAAGCAATTGTGAATGGGAGTTCACTCATGATTTGGCTGTTTGTCTGTTATTGGTGTATAGGAATGCCTGTGATTTTTGCACATTGATTTTGTATCCTGAGACTTTGCTGAAGTTGCTTATCACCTTAAGGAGATTTTGGGCTGAGACAATTGGGTTTTCTAAATATATAATCATGGCATCTGTAAACAGGGACAATTTGACTTCCTCTTTTCCTAATTGAATACCCTTTATTTCTTTCTCCTGCCTGATTTCCCTGGCCAGAACTTCCAACACTGTGTTGAATAGGAGTGGTGAGAGAGGGCATCCCTGTCATGTGCCAGTTTTCAAAGGGAATGCTTCCAGTTTTTGCCCATTCAGTATGATATTGGCTGTGGGTTTGTCATAAATAGCTCTTATTATTTTGAGATATGTCCCATCAATACCTAATTTATTGAGAGTTTTTAGCATGAAGTGCTGTTGAATTCTGTCAAAGGCCTTTTCTGCATCTATTGAGATAATCATGTGGTTTTTGTCTTTGGTTCTGTTTATATGCTGGATTACGTTTATTGATATGCGTATGTTGAACCAGCCTGACGAGTTAATGGATGCAGCACACCAACATGTCGCATGTATACATATGTAACAAACCTGCACGATGTGCACATGTACCCTAGAACTTAAAGTATAATAATAAAAAAAAAGAAAGTGTATTTTTAGAACTATGTTTAAAGCAAATAACCTCACCTAGTGGTGAGTGATTTAAATAAACAAATATTTCTGTTTTCCTCATGCAACAAGAGCTCCAGAAGTAAGCAGTCTAGGGCTGGAATTGCAGCACAACAATACCGTCAAACACTAAGACTTCTTATAACTTCCTGTTTTCCTATGCTTCTTCTGTATCTATCAGCCTCATGACCACAAGACTGCTGGTACAGGTGAGGTGCGGTGGCTCACACCTGTAATCCTAGCACTTTGGGAGGCTGAGGCAGGTGGATGACCTGAGGTCAAGAGTTCAAGATCATCCTGGCCAATGTGGCGAAAGCCTGTCTCTATGAAAAATACAAAAATTAGCCAGGTGTGGTGGTGGGTGCCTGTAATCCCGGCTACTCGGGAGGCTGAGGCAGGAGAATCGCTTGAACCTGGGAGGCAGAGGTTGCAGTGAGCTGAGATCTCGCCACTGCACTCCAGTCTGGGTGACAGAGGGAGACTTCCTCTAAAAAAAAAAAAAAAATTGCTGGTACACCTCCAGGTATTGCATCTGCATTGCAGGAGGAAAGAAGGGAGATCAAAAGCTTTATCTTTTTGCAATTGTACCTTTTGATTTGAGACAAGAGCTCTCCCCACTGAATCATCACTGATCAGAAATAGGTTGTACAGCTAATGCTAATTGCAAAGGAGGCTGGGAGATTAAGCATTCTTAGTTGAACACAGTGCTATGCCTAACAAAATGCTGACAAAGGAGAAGAAGCAATGGATATTGCATAGGTAACCAGCATTGTCTTTCATAGAGAGCTATACAAAATTTTTATGTGCACTAATAAATTGAAATATTGTAATAAATGGAATAGCTGTCAAAAATATATTTATATGTAAATATATTGTATATATTTCCTTGATTCAAAATAATGGAAGATTTGCTTTTTAATTATTTGAGAATATATTTCTATTATTTTTTAAAAGGTTCCAGAGGATGCAAAAAGATAAGAAATATCTCTTTGTATTTCAAAGATGGCAAAACCTTGCTACCTTACAAAACTTGCTCAAAGAAAAATAAAACACAGGCCAAACTTGTTTATTCATAGAGATAAAAATGCTACATAAATAAAAGTAAATACATCTCAGCATGAAAATTAACAATAACAAGCTGTGATTAAGGGTTTATTTCTGGAATTAAGGAATGGTTAAATAATTGGATATCTATTTATATAATTCATCTCATCAGCAGATAAAATATGAAAAATGATTTTTTCCACAAAAACTCCTAGTGACTCCTAATTAAAGATTCTTCTTTAATATTATAAAGCATGTCCAAAACCAGCAATGGCCATCATTATAGTCAATGACATTTCTATTAAAGTCAGGAACAAGACAACAAGGCCCACACTATCACCAATGTTCTTTTATCCTTAAAATAAATGAGTTTGAGGACAGAGGCAAAATATTATCACTTGTCAATGATAGGCTTAGGTATCTGAAAACTTCCATAGACTATGGAATAAGCCTACTATAGCATATTAGCTAGTCATGCAGAAATATATAAACTTTAATAATAAATCAGTAGTTTGAAAGCACGATAAAAACAAAATCCCAATTCAATACCAAATATAACCTGGGCATTAACCTAACAAATACAAATAGATGTAGAATCTGTTCAGGAAACATTTTAAACTTCCCGGAATAATGTAATAGAAGACTTGAACAGACATGGAAGCTGTCTATGTTGTTCATAGGCAAGACCTAACATTAGAAAAATAATACTTTTTCCTAATTAGCCTATAAATCTAATATGTTTTAATCAAATTCTATTGCGATTTCTTTTAAAAACTTGACAGACTATTCTGGAATTCTTAGGAAGAACAAACAGATAAGAATAGTAAAGATAATTTTGATTAAAAAGGGTACTAAGGCACTCTTTGGCCTCCTAGAAATTAAACACGTGAGGGTTCTAATAATTAAAATAATAAGATAACAACACAGGAACAGACATATTTTTAATAGAAAGAGAAGTCCATAAGGAAACCTAATTATGATGAAAAGTTTATCTTAGGATAGAAATTGATTTTGTGTTTTATCACTGAAGAAAGGATACTTCTTTAAAATGGTATTGGAAAAAAAAAAGGAAAATATAATATTCCAACCCTATTTCAGATCTTATCCCAAAAGAAAATTCAGATGGATTACAATCTTAGTGTAAGAAATGAAACTATAAAATGACAAAAAGCAAGTATAAAGAAGCTTTTACATGATTTTGGGATGGAAGATTATTTTACTTTTGTTCTGCAGGTGCTAACCCAGTAGGTTTCAAATACATATGTTACCCCTTATATTTGAAAATGTGTGGGCAAGACAGGAAATGGGGGGGCAGATACTGTCACAGTGATGGGTGGTGGTGTTACTGATATTTAGTTAGTGGGTGCTGGGGATGCAAAAATCTTGCATGGCATGGGACATTCCCACATGGTAAGGAGCTGTCCAGCCCCAGATGCCAAAAACAACCACACTGAGAATCACATGTTGTGGAACATTAAGAATTATTTTAAAAGGTCATTATTAATCATGAAGTGGTCCAATAACTAATATTTCCTGTCTGAGGTTTTCTCCCTTTCTTCTTTTTTAATGGCAAAATGCCTATAAATGACTAAGACATCTGAATAATGGCTTTTCTGTCCTCTTCTACATACCAGCTGTAACAATTCGTCAAATGTAGGCAACTAGCTTTTAAAAATATAATGAAGAATGTATTGGTGGTGGTGTAAATTAGAGGCATTTGTAAAGAGAGAAGATCTCTGGACAAGCTCACATTCGCTATGCCTCATTTCCTCTCCTTTATTGTGTTGATAAAGGGAAATGGTGTTTATTGGGAGAGGACCAAAGAAGTTGTATTATTTCCAGTTTACACAATTACTGTAAAAGCTTCTCTCAGACAGTCTTACCTCAGGACATTCCGTGAGTCTCACTGTAGAGGATGTCATATGCCAATATTTCTTAGGGTTCTTCTGATTGAAATGCCTTTTAAAAAACTTGTTTGAATACCTCAAAATAGGCATGGCTATTAAAAAGAGAGAGTTGAGTTCTGATAGCTAACATATAAAAGTTTAGTGTATGATAAAAATATTTCATCAGAATTTTCAAAGGGAAAGGGACATTTTGGCTGCAACGAAGAAGGTCACTTCTCAGAAGCGATTCTCCGTTTTTCAGATCTCCCTGTTAACTCAGCAATGGTAACATTGATTTCATACCTTATTATCCAGTTATGTAAATAATCGGAAAGAACAGAATGCCTGACTAAAGTGGTTTAAATGAGTACAGGTTTATTTATTTATTTTTTCTCACATATCAAGAAGTCCAGAGGAAGACAGCTTAGGGCTGGTGCAGGAGCTCAACAGTCTAAAAACTGGGTTCTTTCTGTTTCCTCTGCCATTCTTAGGACATTGACTTTAATTCACATGCTGGTTACCTCACAGTTATAGGATGGTTGCTGCAGCTCCTGGTGGTGTAACATCATTCCAGGCAGGAAGAAGGTAAGTGGGGAGCAACCCCCTGGACCTGTGTGTGTGTTAGTGCCAACTATTGGAGGGTGAGGTCCGTTTCTTTCTGGAAGCAAGGAGAAGAGGGAGAAGGAAATGAAGGAAGAAGGGAGGAAGAAGAATGATAAGAAGCTAGCTAGGAAAGGTAGAAGCGGCAAGACCACTGTACTTCTTAACTTTGACGTGCATGCAGATCACTCGGTTTTGTTAAGATGAAGACTGTGATTCAGTAGGTCTGGAGTGTCTGCATGTCTAAGGAGGTCCTCCATGATGCTAATGCTGCTGGTCTGTGGTTTATGCTTTGAGCCTGATAAAGTCTCTTGAGAGTTGAGTTACTTCAATATAAAACAATTCTAGTTTGTTTTTTTTTAAGTCTCAATTGAATTTTTAATATGTTCAGTGGTGAAATCTGGATACTCTACTTTATTTAAAGTTCTCCCTCCCTGTCCTTGAGTGACCTTGTGGTTGGGCCTGCAGCTGGCTGTCTCATTCTTATGGGGCTTTTGTGCAGGACACTCTTCCATCCTCTGCGTCATGGGAAATTTCTGATTTGCAGTTCTTTCAGGTTGGCTTCTTTATTTCCCCACAAATTCACTTTTCTGCATAAAATCATCTTTTGATCTTGTGGCCACTGAGGTTGGCCTTCTTTTATCTGGGCATTTGGGTGAAACTGAGAGTCTATTTTGTTAGCAGTGTTAGCCTCCAGGTTCTTTCTACTGCATTTCTCCCTTCCAGGAGGATCTACTTAGGGAAGACCTAAGACATCCCAAGCCTTGCTCTGTTTCTTGAGTGGATCTTATTGGGTCCATAGGAGAAACCTCACACATTCTTTGCCCAGACACATTCTGTGACTCCAGGCTATTTCCAATGGAGGAATGTCTCTTTTGTCCACTATCAGGGTAGATAACATGTTATGGATTCTCACACTAGATTTCTCAGGCCTGTGTCAGACCCTCGCCCACTGTGCAGCCCAGTCTCCAAATGGCCCTACTAATTTTTCTTTTTTTTTTCTGGCTGAAGATAAGGAGTCAGCACACTTAACCCTCTCCCTTTGAGGCAGGGACATGCATAGCTCTCTTCAAGAAAACTCTCTCAGTTCAAATGTAACCACCTTCTTGAATGTTTTAGACTTCCGTATCTCGGTTTCCAACCACAACTTTGCAAGTTCTGCATAGAGGATCTGCTAATGGGTTTTGGAATGCCGCGGTGGTTGTCACATTGTAAATATACAGTTGTGCAAGCAGTGCATTGCAGAACTCTAGGGGTGCCATTCACCTCCAAGTCACTGCAGATTTGTACAGTGATGATTTTTTCTTAATTGCACTTTATGCAGTTAAGAAAAAGGAAAGGTTGCCTTTTTCATAATGCACAAAATCCCCTTTTGATCTGCTAGCAGCTAATTTTGGTGATAGCTGTGTCAGGGTCATCAGAGAAACTGAAAAGTCCCTCATTATTAGGAATGTTTTAAATTACTTTATAAAATGTTATGAGGACTTGTATATGTTTGATTCCTTATTATTATCCCTTGAATACCCAATGCAAGTTTTTCTTGTAAATTTTAAATCCTTCATTTGCTTCTTTGGGAGTTTTTAAATTTAATTTTTGAAAAGTAAATATGAAACAGAGGGATTCAAATTTTGGTTGTTCTTTGCATTCAGATATTCTGCAATCAGTAAGTTGAGTTCCTTTAGTTGATTTATATTTCTTATCAATATTTCAAAGCACTTGTTTCCACAAATTTTCTATTTAAAACAATTTCTTATTCTTGCATTATAACTTCAAAAACCTTGCTTTTGGCTTTGTTTTTTGGCTCTTACATCACTTACAAATTTTTAAAATTGATTACCTTGTTTTAAAGGTTGATGACTGCCTGTCCAACTCCATTCCCATCTGGCCTAGAATGTTTAAATTGGCTGTCAGCCTTTTTTTATTTTGCTATTTTATTTATTTATTTATTTATTTTTAAATTTGCTTTAAGTTCTGGGATACATGTGCAGAACACGCAGGTTTGCTATGTGTGCCATGGTGCTTTGCAGCACCTATCCACCTATCATCTAGGTTTTAAGACCCGCCTGCATTAGCTATTTATCTTCATGTTCTCCCTCCCCTCTTCCCCCACCCCCTAACTGGATGCAGTGTGTGTTGTTCCCCTCCCTGTGTCCATGTGTTCTCATTGTTCAACTCCCACTTATGAATGAGAACATGGCGGTGTTTGGTTTTCTGTTTCTGTGTTAGTTTGCTGAGAATGATGGCTTTCAGATTCATCCATGTCCCACAAAGGGCATGATCTCATTTCTTTCTATGGCTGCATAGTAGTCCATGGTGTATATGTACCATTTTCTTTATCCAGTCTATCATTGATGGGCATTTGGGTTTGTTCCGTGTCTTTGCTATTGTAAATAGTGCTGCCATAAACATATGTGTACATGTGTCTTTATAGTAGAATGATTTATATTCCTTTGGGTATATACCCAGTAATGAGATTGCTGGGTCAAATGGTATTTCTGGTTCTAGATCCTTCAGGAATCACCACACTGTCTTCCACAATGGTTGAACTAATTTACATTTTACACCAACAGGGTAAAAGCATTCCTATTTCTCTATAGCCTCGCCAGCTATTGTTTCCTGACTTTTTCACAATCGCTATGCTGACTGGTGTGAGATGGTATCTCATTGTGGTTTTGATTTGCATTTCCCTAATGATCAGTGATGTTGAGCTTTTTTTCATATTTTTTTGGCCACATAAATGTCTTCTTTTGAGAAGTGTCTGTTCATATCCTTTGCCCACTTTTTGATGGGGTTCTTTGTTTAAGTTCCTTGTAGATTTTGGATATTAGACCTTTGTCAGATGGGTAAATTGCAAAATTTTTCTCCCATTCTGTAGGTTGCCTGTTCATTGTGATGATAATTTCTTTTGCTGTGCAGAAGCTCTTTAGTTTAATTAGATCCCATTTGTCAATTTTGGCTTTTGTTGCAACTGCTGTCGGTGTTTTTGTCATGAAATTCTTGCCCATGCCTATTTCCTGAATGGTATTGCCTAGGTTTTCTCCTAGGGTTTTTATGGTTTTGAGTTTTACATTTAAATCTTTAATCCATCTTGAGTTAATTATTGTATAAGGTGTAAGGAAGGGGTCCAGTTTCAGTTCTCTGCATATGAGTAACCAGTTTTCCCAGCACCATTATTAAGTAGGAAATCTTTTTCCCATTCCTTGTTTTTGTCAGGTTTGTCAAAGATCAGATGGCTGTAGATGTGTGGTGTTATTTCCGAAGTTTCTCTTCTGTTCAATTGATCTATATGTCTGTTTTGGCACCAGTACCATGCTGTTTTGGTTACTGTGGCCTTATAGTATAGTTTGAAGTTAGGTAGCATGATGCCTCCAGCTTTGTTCTTTTTGCTTAGGATTGTTTTGGCTATATGGGCTGTTTTTTGGTTTCATATGAAATTTAAAGTAGTTTTTTCTAATTCTGCGAAGAATATCAATGGTAGTTTGATGGGAATAGCATTGCATCTATAAATTACTTTGGGCAGTATAGCCATTTTCATGATATGGATTCTTCCTATCCATGAGGACAAAATGTTTTTCCATTTTTTTATGTCCTCTCTTATTTATTTGAGCATAGTGGTTTGTAGTTCTCCTTGAAGAGATCCTTCACATCCCATGTTAGCTGTATTCCTAGGTATTTTATTCTCTTTGTATCAATTGTGAATGGGAGTTCATTCATGATTTGGCTCTCTGCTCTGTCAACATGCTTTGACTAGTTAGAGGCATCATGCTACCTAACTTCAGACTATACTACAAGGCTACAGTAATCAAAACAGCATGGTACTGGTGCCAAAACAGACATATAGATCAATCGAACAGAAGAGAAACTTTGGAAATAACACCACACATCTACAACCATCTGATCTTTGACAAACCTGACAAAAACAAGGAATGGGGAAAGGATTTCCTATTTAATAATGGTGCTGGGAAAACTGGCTACCCATATGCAGAGAACTGAAACTGGACCCCTTCCTTACACCTTATACAAAAATTAACTCTACACCAATTATTGGTGTATAGGAATGCTTGTGATTTTTGCACATTGATTTTGTATCCTGAGACTTTGCTGAAGTTGCTTATCAGCTTAAGGAGATTTTGGGCTAAGACATGGGGTTTTCTAAATATAGAAATATGTCATCTTCAAACAGAGACAATTTGAATTCTGCTCTTCCTATTTGAATATGCTTTATTTTTTTCTCTTGCCTGATTGCCCTGGCCAGAACTTCCAATACTATGTTGAATAGGAGTGGTGAGAGAGGGCATCCTTGTCTTGTACTGGTTGTCAAAAGGAATGCTTTCCAGCTTTTGCTCATTCAATATGATATTGGTTGTGGGGTTGTCATAAACAGCTTCTATTACTTTGCAATATGTTCCATCAATACCTAGTTTATCGAGAGTTTTTAACATAAAGGAATGTCAAATTTTATTGAAAGCCTTTTCTGCATCTATTGAGATAATCATGTGGTTTTTGTCATTGGTTCTGTTTATGTGATGGGTTATGTTTATAGATTTGTGTATGTTGAACCAGCCTTGCATCCCAGAGATGAAGCCAACTTGATCGTGGTGGATAAGCTTTTTGATGTGCTGCTGGATTCAGTTTGCCAGTATTTTGTTGAAGATTTTTGCATTGATGCTCATCAGGGATATTGGCCTGAAGTTTTCTTTTTTTGTTGTGTCTCTGCCAGGTTTTTGTATCAGGATGATGCTGGCCTCATAAAATGAGGCTTTTTTGCCCTCTCTTCACCTTTTGCCATCACAGGGTGGAAAACTCCCTGGGATCATGCTTACACCACCATTTTTGGAGTATGGGACCCATGAAGGAGCATATACCTCTATTGCATGTGCACATGTTTCTCCTATCATAAATATTCATCCACCTCCTATAGCTCACTAAATACGTATATTTGGCCGCCCCATTCAGGATAAATTCTTGTCCCCATTTCCCCTCCCTCAAAGTGTCTTTTCTGGCTTCTGGCCAGACGCTGTGCTTCCCAACCCATCAGACAGCCTGGCCACCCTGCAGGCTGCAACTCTTTATGAGAAATAAAGCTCTCCTTTCCAAATTAATATTATATATATATAATAATCTCCTTTCCAAATTAAATATATATATATTTCCAGTCTTTATCCTTTTGAGTGAAATATGGAATGAGATTTGTCTATAGGTTCGTCTATATGCATACAGATTTATAATTGTATAAATTAGGCAAAGAACATTTTATGAAAGCCTTTTTATAAGAGTTTATTTTTTCTTGAAATTTTCTGTAACAGATTTTTTTTCCAGTCATTTGCGGGGGACGGGGTCTATATTAGAACCTACAGGGAGATTTAAATTATTTAAATTATCCCAATTAAGGGGGATATTTTTGAGTCTCTTGATCTGATGATTTAATCTTGTCATTGCCCTTCATAACACTTGCAAAGCTTAGCAAGATCACGAAGAGAAATTGCATTTTATTCTAGAATCTGTGGTAGAAATCTCTGGAGTTTATCTTTGTAATTTCTCATTTTTTTCCCTGTAAGAACCACCAATGCTCATTCCACTATCTATGAATAATTTTAGTTGACAATCAAAATATATTAACCCCCAGTGACCCGAAAGCAATGAAATCCACCATTTCCTATTCTGAAGACTGTTCGGCAAACACAGATTTAAATCTCTTTACACTTCAAAATTTTTTACCAATGAAAAGCTCAATGAAATTGCCTACAAATAATTTCTGGATAGTTTAACTTATGCTTTCTGAATTACATTGCATTTTATCCTGCTGATAGAAACTATAGTAAATTTTCATTGTTTAAGACCTGATTTTAGAGCTGCTCATGAAGACAATTCCATTCAGATTCAGTAATAAAAATCAAACTTCCCTCCACTTTTGGCCAGAAGAGGGAAGCAGTTGACTGCATCTGAGGCATCTGTGCATGGATTCCAGCAAACTTTTGTACTTCAAATTAATTACCACTCAATAATGTAATAGTTAAAATAATGCACAGCTCTCAAATGTCACTTTGTAAAATTAAAGGAAATGTATAAGGTATGTATTTTCTTTTCGTTCATTTATGTCTTGAAATTACTTAGCTTCTTAGACTGTGTGTTTGTGAAATTTAACAAACACTGCTAACTGATAGTCAATCTCTGCTTTAAGTCAGACCTTTACCATTGGATTAGAAAATCAATAACCAAACACCCAGAAGACCTGCCTTATTGGTCTAAACTTTTGCCTCTGACATGAGAAAGTTATTTCCTAATCGTTCCACACAGTTAAATGCAAGCTCCTGGCAACATGGGATAATATATGTTTACCTCTACAATTGCTTATATTAATATTAGGCTGTTATTTTAATTTTAATTTTTTCTTACTTAGGATGTGATCACTCACTTAAATTGCTCTTTTATTGTCTTGTTCTTGCCTTATCTCTGATATATTTGGTAAAGTACCAGATGAACTTCAGGCTCATCTAAAATGTTTCCCTGAATTAGTTTGTGCTCCAAAGGCCATGTGGAGTACAGCATTGAGGAAAAGTTTTCTGGATAATTCAATTAAAACAAAAAACAAAAAGCAAATGAAGCCCCTATCATTGAGTAAACATAAGAATTTAAATATTTCTGTTGGTAATTGTACACATTTCCTTTTTCGTTTTGAGTTGATACTAGTTCTGTTTATATAACCAGACACTGTATGATAACTGAATGGCAAGAACTCAGTCCACTTGCCACCAAGGTACATTGTATTCATCTAGGCCTCACAGAAATAGGGTTACCAGATGACCCGTATGAATTTGTCACTCACTGTTCTGTTACAGACCTTGTTTTAGTAAAGTGATGTGGGTATTCATTTTCTTCACTGTATTTTTTTATTCCTGCATATATTTAGTTTTTAATTTTTTTTCTTCATTTCACCCTGATTAAATTCTCATATTAGGAGCACTTTAGTAAAGGGCCTAAAATAAAAACATATACCCAAAGAAGTCTCAGAATGTCATTAGTGGCCGGGCGTGGTGGCTCATGCCTGTAATGCCAGCACTTTGGGAGGCTGAGGCAGGTGGATCACCTGAGGTCAGGAGTTTGACACCAGCCTGGGCAACATGGTGAAACCCTATCTCTTCTAAAAATACAAAAATTAACTGGTGTGGTGGCAGGCGCCTGTAGTCCCAGCTACTTGGGAGGCTGAGACAGGAGAATCACCTGAACCTGAGAGGCAGAAGTTGCAGTGAACCAAGATCATGCCACTGCACTCCAGCCTGGGTGATAAAGTGAGACTCCATCCCTCCCCCAAAAAAATAAATAAAAAAAAAGCTCAAAATCTATACTCTATTTAAGTGAATAAACAATTTGTGGCAGATTAAAGATGGCAACAAGTTTTTTGAGATTCCTCCCAACAAGAGATGGGGTTTTGTCTTTTTTTCCCTTGAATCTAGGTAGGTTCTATTATTTTTTTGACCCACAGGATATAGTGGAAGTCAGGCTGTGTTGGTATCCTGACCAAGGCTTTAGGATACTGGAAGCTTTTGCTTTCTGTCTCTTGAAACACTTGACCTTGAATTCCACCTGCCATGCTGTTTGGAAGCCCAAGCTGCACTGTGGAGCAACCCATGTGAAAAGGAATGGAGGCTCTGGCTGAACTTCTCGTTGACAGACAACACCAAATTGCCAGCCATGTGAGCCAGCCACCTTGGAAGTATCATCTCCAGCCCCAGTCTAGCTGCTGTCATTGTATGGGGGAGAACTAAGTTTTCCTTGTTAAGCCCTTTTCAAATTGCTGATTTGTGAGCCAAATAAATGATTGTTTTTGCTTTAAGCCAAAAAGTTTTGGGACAGTTTGATTTACAGAAATACTTACCTGAACAATTGTTCTTCAACAAAAATAATCATCTCCCAAAGAAGCTTGTTCATAATAAGTGATGTAAAGCTGACAGTTTGGTCTTCAAAAGCCTCTCATACTGTTAGGAGGGAAATGAAGCAATCAATATAGGCTTGTAATCAGCATTAGGGAAAGTAGAAAACTACTGATAAGTTTTAAGCCTTCTATTCTACAACACCACTTCAGAATTGAGTGCTAATTGCTTCATTGCTGCTGAACGGTATTAGTAGATTTAGAATTTGTACAATATACCAAGCATGTAATTGTCTCATGACACCATTTGTGCACTGAACAGCAACGCTTAATGTGGACAATAGACTTGGAATGGATTTTAGAAATGCTAATTAACAAAAAAGTTCTTATTGTATAATAATGTTTCAAGTGTGTTCCCAACAACTTCAATTAGCATAGAACAACTAAAGCAAAGAGCAGGGGAAGTTAAATAATACTCTGTTCTGTTCCTTTCTGTATCACGGACCTGCAGACCAAAACTAGAAGACATGGTCATCTTTTTTATTGTTTTGGAAGGTAAATTCTCATTTTCACACGATTTATTTTTATAAAACAACTCTTTTTAGGGAACAAAATATTCATTTCTAGTTGGAGCAGTATTTCTGAAACTTTAGCAGGTATCAGAATCATCTGGAGAGCTTGTTAAAACATTGATTTAAAAGACCCAATCACAGAGCTTCTGATTTGTTAGATCTGGGGTAGGAGCCAAGAATTTACATTTGTAACAGGTTCCCAGGCAATGTTGATGTTGGTCTGGAGAACACACATTGAGAACCACTGGATTAGAAAAAATAATGTATAATGAATGATTCGTAAGTCCCAGCTACCTAGAAGTGAAAACTTAGCTGTTACTATTACCTAAGGTATCGAGTTTAGAATTATTAATAAACAGTAAACATTCCTTGAATGCCTACTATGAACTAGACACTGTGGTAGGTTTGAGGAGCTTATACCCTGGTTGAGGAGAAATATGGGGTCATATGGGGACAAATAGGAGGAAAATCACCTACTCTTAGGGTTTATGGAGAACTTGTTGTAGGAGATGACTCCTGAGTTAAGTTTTGATATGAGCAAGTGTTGCCTAGGTCAGTAGAAGCTGAATGATTCTTACAGACAAAGAGAATAACCCAAGAAACTAATAAAAGGTTGAAACAGCAGTTTTTATTACAAGAATGAAAGCATGAGGTATAGAAAAGTAGGCAATGATGTAGTTTTGCTCTCAAGAAAGTAAATTTGAAGATAGAAGAGAATAATATAGTTTTGTTTTTAACAAATATTTGTGTGTTACCCAGTATATGGAAGTGGTTTTATTGTGTGTGTTGTTTGTTGTTAAAAAGTGGCTTGGTTTGCATTTTGTTGAGATTTTAAACATTTTCTCATGGTAATTGATTAGAAAAAGGCAAAAATGGGGATAAAATTTGTCAAGACTATTCATTTTAGTGATTTTAAATAATCTGTTCTCTTAATGAATCACAACTATGCTCAATATATTGTCATTTCTAAATTTTGAATTGATTTTGTTTGGTGAGAATTATTTTACCTCAGCTAATGTGAAACTGCATATGTAGCTTAAAACAGAAATGGCACTTTAAAATAAATTTTCAGTGTCAAGTAATGTCAAATCATATTAGTCAGCTTGAGTATGTTAGAAACTAATTCTTTTTTGTTGAATTTCGAACTGCTTCATGGGCAATAGAGGGACTGCACGTCACAGTTACCACCCTCCCCAAAATATAATGTTCACTTCAGAAGAAACACTTCCTTCTTCCTCAGACAGGAAAAAAGGGTGGATAAATTAACAGGAACTAAAAGCAGAGGCACAGCTACTATATCAACAAGTAATACAAAAATGCGTGAAACAGAAAAATGCTCATGGCACCTGAAGTTAACATTAGTCTCTTTTCTATGTATCAAGCTGACATATTAGAAAATAAAAAATTATGTATATTTGATTTTCATGTATATATGAAGCGCATATCTTGAATAACAAAGGCATCTCAATTTTGAAGCAAGCAATTTTTTAGGCAAATCCAAAAGCAAGAAAATGATAAAATAGGTCTGTATTTCAAATAGAATATAAAGACATAGTGAACAAGAAGAAAATGAAGCAAAAGGAGTTCAGTATGATGAAAGAAAGTCTATTGCTTTAGTAGCTCACCAAGTCAAAATCCTCAGGAAATGCACAATCTTTGTTGTGTTAATATGACTTCAAATGGAGCTGTTTAAATCGTTTACTAAGATTTAATAGCTAAACATGGGCACAGTAACAGTATCTTTTATAACCTTTTTGGGTCAAAGAATATTCACACATTTATTTGTGGGTAGAATATGCTTAACTCTTAACAATATAATGGTGCTGTTTGACATCGCAAGAAGGGTAAATAGTAACACCGCAAAATTATGACAACTATTTTTAAAATGTAATTAATTTAATTAGAGCACCAGAAACAAAAAAATTCTGGAAAAGGAGCAGCAGGAGAGAATTTCACTAACATCTTTCACAAATCTCGACTCTAATTCAGTGTTTAAATAATCCTTTTGTCAAAATAGTGAACTGGCTTTCTGCAAAGGACGTCTTTCTGCAAAGGGCATCTTTGAACTGGTTTTTACTTGTGGAGCTGTTTTGTGTACTGAAGAGTATCCACTTGTCAAGCTGCCATTCTGAAACCCAGATGAGTAGCTGAGAAGCTCATTTTGCTTGCCCTCGGGACAGCTAAGCTTTACATTTTTGATGACAATGGAATGCAGTAGTTTATGTCAGGTGTGTGTGTGTGTGTGTGTGTGTGTGTGTGTGCGTGCATGTGCGCACCTGCATGTTATTCAGCTTCTGTTTGAGGTTCACCCTACTTAATTACAAAGTAAGCGTGAAGCAGGGAACACCCTTTGCAACTACCCTTCACTTTTCATCTTAGAATCGTGCACTCTGCAAAAATCTGATTTTCTCCCCATTTTAGTTTTAAAAACAGTTTATATAAAAACTGAAAAGCAACAAAACAGAAATTTCAGAAATGTACACTAAGGTGCTTTGCTTGCTTTAAAGATGGAAACACTGTGTTTCTTATTTCTATTGCATTTTAGAATTTAGAAAACCAGAAAGAATCCAGAAGGTCTTCTATGGCCATTTTATTAAACAGCCATAGGTCCTGAGAAACTGATTCTATGTTTCTGTAAGTTTACTCAGAATTCCAGTGACACCAGCTTTACTTCTATAAAAAGATATTATTGATGATTAAACTTAAAATACTTTTGAGATTATTATAATTAGAAATTAAACAGATATTATTGAATAAAGCAATAATTTCTTAAGCTACAGTATTAAGTAACGTATTTTATAATATCTACATAGCTAACAAAATATCTGTATCATAAACCTTGGGTATATATAACTCAGGTGGTTTGTTTCTGGGAATACGATCATAATAGGGAGAAAACTCAGTGACATAACAGTGACAAAATAGCTTCAACCCTACCTTTAGTTGTATAATTTTGCTGAAGTTTCTGCATATATATAGCAAAGGAATTGAACTACATCTGTAAAACTCAATTTCTAAAAATTCCATGGTTAAATAAGTAAACAGATCCATAGGAGGGAAAACTCTACAAAAATTCAGGAAATGTGATTATCTCTCTCCCTTCCTTCCTTCTTTTCCTTAGTTGTTTAGCTTATGAATCCTGCCTTTAATGAAAGTGAAAAAATAATATTAATATAGCACATGAGAAAGTTATGTTAAAAGCTTAAAAGAAGAGATGGAGAATGGTAAAGATGCAATTCAAAGAAGTGATAAATGTCTGGGATTAGGAAATGATGTTCTGGTAGAGCTATTTGTTATATCAACAACAAGACTGAGATAGGAAGCTCTGAGCTGAAGGATGTATGTAACGAGTGTCAGGGAGGCCCTGGAAAAAAAGCTCAAGTCAATGGCATTAGCTGAGCAATGGAGATTGAAAATTAGGTTTACATATTTCGATGCACCCAGATCACAGCCATGCCAATGGGTACTGCATTTCAGGGACTCTTCCTTTGCTGACAGTTCAGTTTTTCTAGAACACCAGTCTCACCAGGTAGACTTCCAAGAAGATAATTAATTTTCTGCTCATGCAGCAAAATGTGTAAGGGGAAAAAAGCAAACATTCCTGGCCATATAGAAACAAATAAGGCAGATGGGAAAGGCAATGTAGTATGGCAAAAAATTCACAGACCCGACATTGACTCTTACAAGATATTTTACATAGGGCAAGTTTTTTTATTTTTAATCCTTTTGATTGTCAGTTTCCTCATGCATAAGATGGAGTTTATACCAGTCCTCACATAGCAGTGATGTGAGGATTAAATGAAGCAAGACTTGTAAAGCGTCTCACATACTGCCTGGAAATAATGGGTGCTCTCCCTTCAGTTTTTCCTTTTCTCACTTTTTATACTTTTCCTTTTTCTTGCTCCTGATGTTTTCCCCACTCTCTCACCAAGTGAGAAACAGAAGTTTCCAAGTAAAAGATCCTCTTAACATCCAAATGGCCTGCTGGGTGGCTCCTCAAGGTCTTAGAGTCTTAGAGGGGGATGGTTCTTCCTAAGAATCCCTCAGAACACAGTTTCCAGTATCTTGGACTCCTGAGCTGCTCTCCAGGGTGCTGCTGGGCATTTTGAAGATTCTCTCCTCAATGGGGAGTTGCTTTTATCTTCCTAGGGGCTCTAAAGTGCTTCCTGGAATTCGAGCTTCTGTAGAGATATTTATTGGCAGTGACAGACAGAGCTCTTTATCTTTTCAAAGAGCAGCTCTACCAAGAAGGAATTGTTTGGCCATGTCTAGGAGTACAGGGGCAAATCTGGACATGATTTTACTGCTTGAACTGCAAAGCTATTTGGGTTAACACTGAAATTAATTTTTTTCTGAGCTATATTGTAGGATAGCTTTATATATAAAGTTTACTTTGAAACCTTCCAATGGCACCTCTTGGTTTAATCAAGATTGACATTTTTAGTAATCCCAGTAAAGACTCTATCTAGGGTATTGCCTTAAAGTGTGTCTCAAAAATACCTGAGAAGTAGGACTCTATTTGGATCTAGCCATCGTGCCTGTTCGATTG
Source organism: Homo sapiens (assembly GCF_000001405.40). Classification (NCBI taxonomy): domain Eukaryota; kingdom Metazoa; phylum Chordata; class Mammalia; order Primates; family Hominidae; genus Homo; species Homo sapiens. The sequence goes on from NC_000006.12 coordinate 8,506,785, forward strand.
TTCTTGCCTGGTAGTCAGGGGAACACAGGACATTTTCACACCATTTTCAAATTAGTTCCGTTTATGAGGGGTGATACTCATCATGTACTTGTAGACTAATGGGTGCAAAATACAGATTCTACCCTCAAAAAGTGCAACCTTGAGATAGGGTGATGTTTCAGATCCATCAGTGCGAAATTTAGGAAGTAGAACTGGTATGGTTTGGCTCTGTGTTCCCACCAAAATCTCATGTTGAATTGTAATCCCCAATACTGGGGAAGGGACCTGGTAGGAGGTGATTGGATCACAGGGGCAGATTCCCCCCTTGCTGTTCTCATGATAGTGAGTGAGTTCTCACCAAATCTGATGGTTTAAAAGTGTGTGACACTTCTCCCTTCGTTCGCTGTCTTTCTCCTGCCGCCATGTGAAGGCATGCTTGCTTCCCCTTTCCTTTCTGCCATGATTGTAAGTTTCCTGAGGCCTCCCAGCCATGCTTCCTGTACAGTGTGTGGAACTGTGAGTCAAGTAAACCTCTTGTCTTTATAAATTACCCAGTCTCAGGTAGTTCTTTGTAGCAGTGTGAGAATGGATGAATACAGAAAGAACTAAAGGGTTATTATCGACAAGCGAGCAATTTTAATGTTTTGCCTTGCGAAAATGTAGTAGTTCAGGTAAAACAAAACAAAAGATGAAAAAGTTCAAGAGTATAGTTTGGTGCAAAAGTAATTGCGGTTTTTGCCATTGAAAGTAATGAAAATAGAAAATGTCCCTGATAAAGTTTACCAAATAGTAATAAATATACTTTCCACAACATACTCTCACAATTTTATTGAAACAGTTTCTGGCACTCTGGGTAGTTTTCCAGACTCTGATCATGAGCACAGTAGTTATCACTGGCAGACGTGGGAGGAACAGGCAGCTTGGCCCCGTCTCTGGGGAACGTTGAGAGATTAATACAATGGGCAGCTCAAAATCCAGAGCTGGCTGAAGCCTTCAGCACTCTTGGCCTGAGTTTGTCACTTTAGAGTGGGCACCACGTAACTGACTGACTTCCCAAGAATTCGGGGTGGCAGATCATGCCACCTGGTTCAGTACTGCTCCATCTTACCTGCAGAGCTTGGAACAATCCTTTTGTTCTAGTAGATAAGTGAAGAAGAGCCAAACTCTTAATGAAATATACTTCCCTTGAACGTGTATCTCATAGGCTGTTTGACTGTTATGAAAAATGTCATCTATAGAAAAGAATGGTATACATGTTGCTAAGACACATTAGATGTTATTGCCGGAGTCAATATTTCAGAATTCAGGATGGTAATCTAACATTACTGCTTTTAGCTGTCCCTGAAGATCCAAAATTAAATTATTATTTTAAAGTTGTAGATTGCAGCATAATAAGTGGGTAAAAGTAGGGACTCTGGCATTAAACTGCCTGGATTTCCTGCTGGACAAGTTACTGAACCATTTTGTGTCTCAGTTTCCCCATCTGTAATATCCCTTTCCTCATATGGTGGTTGTGAAGCTTACATGAGTTAATGCATACAATGGTACTAGAACCATGCCTGGGACATAGTTAGCATTATCTAGGGGTTTGCTGTTAATACACAAACTTATCCTATCCCACCATTCCCAGGAATTCTAACATCAGTTCCCAGGAGTTTTACCATTTTAGGATTGTTTGAATGAGAAACTGAACAGTATCTGACATGGATTACTGTTTCAAATAGTATGTGAAGGAGGTGAACATATGACAAACAAGGTGTATCTTTTCACCTTGGTGCTTTATCTAGGAATGACGTTGTTATTCCAGAAAAGTGTTTGTTACATTGTATTGGCTATATTACATGCAGTATATTTGAAAACTAATTGTTCACATGAAAGCATTGACTGGCCTGGCGGTTATCTCATAACCTTGAATTTATCTCATTATTGAAAATGTCATAAAGAGATATCAGATATGCATGGTGGCTCAGCTCTTTGTCAAAGACATCTAATTTTTATCGTGAACCAGTGATTCTCCAGACTGGTTCTGTGGTTAAGATCAATAGCAGCAGCAGCAGCAACAACAACAACAAAAACAAAACTTCTTGATCATTACAGTAATCTTTTAAAGAAAACTTGAAATGTTTCTAGGTTTATCTTAAACTTGTCTGAAAAAAAATCTCAATCTTGCTCTAATTATCTCTACCTAATGTTATCTCTACCCTGATAACTTAGTGCTGTAGATAATAGAGAATCAGAGTTCAGAGGACAAGATTCTTGAGGTACCTCACCAAGAAGCCACCTGTTGTTAGTCCCACGAAGTATGATCAGGCAGATGGTCAGCCCAAAAAGACACCTTGAGATGACTTGGAGAAGATTGGCCAAAGAAATGTTTAGGTTTCTTGTCCTTCAACATGACATGGTCAAAATGTCAACTTACTAATATGGCTCTATGTCAGTATTTGCTTCCATCTAGTGAGATTTAGCTACAGACTTATCAAACTATTAATATATATAGTGTGGATTTTTTTGGTGAATATTCCCAATTTTTTTAAAATCACAATATTAGTTGTATACCAACATATAGCATTTTATTCTTATTATGAAGGCAATTTAAATTTATTGCAGAAAATTGAAAAACAGAAATAGAAAAAATAAAGCAAAAATGACTTGTAATGCTACTATTGAGATATATCCACTAGCTTTTAGTATATTTTCTTCTAATTTAGTGTGTGTGTGTGCACATGTATGTACATACTTAGGACCAGACCGCATGTGTTAGTTTACCTCTTGCCTTAAAAAAACAAAAACAAAGAAACTAAGCATTGTATCCTAAGTATTTCCCCAACTTCAAATACTCTTTAAGATAATATTTCTAATGGCTGCAGGATATTTCATCATGTGGATGTACCATATTTTATTTATTAGATGTTTAAACTTTCTTCAATAACAGAAATAATGTTGCTAGAAATATTCTTATACAGAAATAACTGACCACAATTCTGATTATTTTCTTGGAACAATTTTTCTGGAAGTAAGATTATTGGATACGAACATTTTCAAGGCAATATTATTAAATTATTGTTAAGAAAGTTTGTCCCTATGTGCACTTTCCCCAGTGGTAGATTAGCCAGCACTGGTCTTGCTGCTCCCTGCAATGATTACTAGTTATTATTTTAGGGAGGTGATGAGGATATTGGTTAAGAGCACAGACCCCAATTCTGTCACTTAATAATCATGTGGTCTTTAGCAACTTATTTCAGCTTTTTGTGTATTACTTTCTTCATCCGCAAAATTAAGATTGAAACAATACCACAGATTTTACAGTGTTGTGGGAATTACGTGAGATAATAGATCTGTAGCTCTTAATGTAGCACCTGGCACATACCAGCTACACTGTAAGTGTTTGCTCTTATTAATATTGTAAATGATTGGTAACTTGATAGGCAAGGTGGTATATTACCATTATTTTGATGTGCATTACTTTTATTATTAGTGAAACCGAACATTGTTTCTTTTGCTTCTTCCTCTTTTTAAATTTTATTTATTTATTTAGAGACGGAGTCTCCCTCTGTCTCCCAGGCTGGAGTGCAATGGTGCAATATCGGCTCGTTGCAACCTCTGCTTCCCGGATTCAAGCGATTCTCCTGCCTCAGCCTCCTGAGTAGCTGAGATTACAGGCACGTGCCACCATGCCTGGCTAATCTTTGTATTTTTAGTAGAGATGGGGTTTCACCATGTTGGTCAGGCTGGTCTCGAACTCCTGACATCGTGATCCACCTGCCTTGGCCTCCCAAAGTGCTGGGATTACAGGCATGAGCCACTGCGCCCGGCTCTCTTTATTTTTTTGTATAATTACCAATTTTCTGGCCATATTATTTACCCATTGTGGTAGGCGTGGAGATGAGCTGCCTAAGGACCAATTTCAAGCAAACTTTTGTGCCCCAGGATCTAAGAGTAGACATCCTTTGGTGTTAGTGCCTTCAGGGATTATTTGACTGCAGAGGTTGCCTGGCCTGAGATCATGCCCCTTCTTAGGGTAGCTGAAGTACAATGAATGATAGATATGGAAGTCCAGTCGTATGTTGCTTGATGCCGAGAATGTATTTTGAGAAAAGTGTTGTTAGGCCATTTTGTTATTATGTGAACACCATAGAGTGTACTTACATGAACCTAGATGGTAGAGCCTACTACACACCTAGGCTAGATGGTAGAGACTCTTACTCTAAGGCTACAAATCTGTACAGCATGTTACTGTATTGAATACTGTAGAAAACTGTAACACAATGGTAAGGATTTGTGTATCTAAACATAAAATGATATAGTAAAAACGTAGTATAAATGATAAAATATGGCACACCCGAACAGGGCAGCTCCATTAAAATCTTATGGTACCACTGTTATATATGGTATTTGTTGTTGACCGAAGTGTCCTTAATGTAGTACATGACTGTATACAGGAAGGAACATCTTGGTCCAGTTTGAGACAACTGTGAATGGCCATTCTAGATCTAGAGCCCAATTCTTCCCCTCAACCTCACCATGGGATTAGCTGAAGCTGTCAGACCCATATCACATCTCAATTTCTCCTGCCTTACTGTGCTATCCTGTCCCGTCTTCCACATTTGCAAATAAATGTCCTAAACACTGAACTTCATCTCCATGTTGCTTTCTGGAGAATCCAAAAAGTGACACTCAGTTTTCTATCTGGATCTGTATTTCTCTTGTTGACTTGTTAGAATTTTCTCTGTATTAGGCTTATAAACATTTGTCCTACTTATTATGGAAACTCTTTCTACCTTTTTTTGTTTAATTTTGTTTTTCAATGTGCCTCAATTAATAAAATGTATAAAATTAATGCATTTTAAGTGTACAATGCAATAATTTTTAGTAAACTTACACAGTTTGACCAGTATAACCCAAGTTCATTTTTAGACTTAATACAATTTTTATCTTTGGGAGGTGATTAGGATATTGATTAAGAGCACAGACCCCAGTTCTGTCACTTAATAATCATGTGGTCTTTGTTTTTAAATGTGCCTCAATTAATAAAATGGATAGAATCAATCCATTTTGTGTATAATTGTACACTTAAAGTGGATAATTTATATCCATTTTAAGTGTATTAAATACCTCCCTAAAATAAAAATTCATATATATGAGTTTTCAATGCTTATATTGTCAAATCTATGACTTATATTGCTCTTGTGTTTTGTTTAAAAAAATCCCTATTGTAATTTTAATTCTTTAAACCATTTGGAGTACTATTAGGTCTGATGTAAGTTAAGGTTAAAAATTTTTCCAAAAATTAATCAAACACACACTACTTATTAAATAAAATTCCCTTTACTAATTTGAAAAGTTATATTTATCAATTAAAAATTATTATATGCAACCATGTAGTCCCAGCTACTCAAGAGGCTGAGGCGGGAGGATTGCTTGAGTCCAGTGGGCTATGATTGCACCACCATACTGTAGCCTGGGTGACAGAATGAGACCATCTCTACAAAACAAACAAACATACAAAATATATTTATATCTTGTAGGATCCACTCCTTGACTATAGACTCTACTGATCAATTTTGGGCCAGTACCACATTACCTTTAGAATATAAAGGTAGAATTTTGTAAATGTGTTAATGTTGGGGGTAAATTATCCCTCATCACTCTTCTTTTTCTAAACATTTTTGTTCACTTTTACACATCGTTCTCCCAAATGAACCTTAGAATAGTTTTGTCAAGTTCCTATTCTATTTCCTAAAAACCGTTCCTGCTATGAGTTTGAGTAAAATTATATTAAGCCTAAAAATGAGGCCAGGTGCTGGTGGCTCATGCCTGTAATCCCAGGACTTTGGAAGGCTGAGGCAGGCAGATCATTTGAGGTCAGGAGTTCAAGACCAGCCTGGCCAACATGGAGCGAATCCCATCTCTACTAAAAATACAAAAATTAGCTGGGTGTGGTGGTGCATGCCTGTAATCCCAGCTACTCAAGAGGCTGAGGCAGGAGAATCACTTGAACCTGGGAGGCAGAGGTTGCAGTGAGCCGAGATTGTACCACTGCACTCCAGGTTGGGCAACAGAGTGAGACTCCATCTCCAAAATAAATAAATAAATAAAGCCTAAAAATGAACTTGGGTTATACTAGTCAAACTATGTAAGTTTACTAAAAATTATTGAGTTGTACACTTAAAATGGATTAATCTTGTCCAAACTGTACACTTAAAATGGATTAATTTTATCCATTTTATTAATTGTGGTATCCTTAAAGTATACCTCAATTAAGCTATTTTTTTAAATGAGTTTCTATCCAGAAACTTCATATCTCTACTTATTAAGGCCTTTTATGTTATGTTTTATTTATATTTTTAATAATGTTTATTAGTTGTGTTTACCTCTAGTAGATTCCACCATAAATCATTTCATGTTGTTGTTGTTGGGTAGCCTCAAGTGAGTTTGTTTCTGTGATTGAATTTATGGGGCCATGAGATCTGGAGGGCAGAAAAGTCAATGTGGCATCTACTTGATCACTTGTTGAGGGGACGGGCTGGAACCATGCTCCTTCTGCAGGTGTTCTGAATGTCAGTGCCTTCAAGCTGGGCAAGCACATACATGTGGAACTCACCTGGGGGTGAGGCAACAGAGCATGAAAGAGGCTATAGAGAACAGGATCTGGGTGCTTCCCATAGAGGCATGCCAGTTTAGACTTTTTCAAGAACACAGTGCTAGCCAAACAAAAACTCCTCTGTCATCTAAATCCAGCTCACTGTCTTCCAATTTGTATCCCTTTTTTGGGCTACCTGAAGTTTATATTGAGCTACCTGCTCTGAGAAGTCACCACCAATATATACATGAAAGGAACAAACACTCTCAAGATCTGGTAACTGCTGAATTGGGGTGAGCTGATATTTCTTCATAGGCTCCTGTAACTTATAGGCAACCTTTGTAGAGAAAGGTATAGTAGGTATCCAGGAGATGTACTGTGTGCGTGAGAAGGCTGGCGATCCTATGCTAGAGTGTTGGTTCTGGGCAGATATGATTTAGGATGGGATTAATCTAAAGTGGACTCTATAAGAATGAGGGGTTCTTGTGTTGTTGCCTGTTCCTCACTAATTTTACTGCTACATCCACTGAGAATCTATTTGAAAGACTTAATTCAGGCTGGGTGCCGTGGCTCATGTCGTAATCTCCTCACTTTGGGAGGCCAAAGAAGGAGAGTCGCTTGAGCCCAGGATTTCAAGACCAGCCTGGGCAACGTGGTGAGACCCCATTTCTGTTTTTATCAAAAAGACTTAATTTATATTTTAAATTTGAACTATAGAATATGGTCAAGTTACAAAACTCATTACTTCGCTATATATAATTATCAAAATATGTTCTTGCTAACATAGGAGTAGCAACATTTATGGATTATTTAATAATATCATCTTACATATAGCTTTTATTGATACAAAAATTTTTAGAAAATAAAAATATTAAAAAGACCACTCCTGTATTTTGTACTTGTAGTTTTACAGCATATTCCCTATATTTTTCTATTTAAATTGACAAGAAAATGTCTTTTTCTTGCCCAAAGACTTTTGGCCAATTACTCAATGAAGGAATGACTATTAATTCACTTATATGGATTGTGTTAGCTTGGTTCTGATTAGAAGGGCCTTGTATCTTAAAATGACACATAATGTCAGCAAATAAAACACCACTGTTTAGTATATTAATGTAACCTTTGATAATTAGAAAAATTAAGACTTTGTCTTACAGTTTTCAAGAGAAAATGTTTACTTTGCACAATTTTTAAGACTGACCAATAAATTATATTATGTTAATTAAGATGGTCTTAAAAATTTTTTCTAACTTATGAACATCTTTAATTTTTAATTTTATTTGAAAATACAGTATGTTTTATGCAAATGAAAAAATAATAATAGGTATTTCTAAAATTTATAGGACATGCTTAGTTTCTTATAAAAATCTCATAATTTCTCAATACATTATTATTATCATTATTTTTGTGGTAATTATTTCAATTTATTTAATTGAATTTTATGTTCATCTTAAAAAATTTAGAAATGGATAATATATTGTTCAATTATTTCCAGGGTCATAATAGTCTGGAGCTTCTATTTTATTATATGAGGGGTTTCACAAAATTAGTTTTAATTAATGATACCATTAACCAAATTCTTCTCTGAATTATTAAATCTTTAAATTACCTAAATTATGGTAAAATTAAATATAAGGCTTTAAATCTTTCTTAGGGTTCATTTTCTTCCAAAAATTCTCCTTCCCTAATACTACATTCTAGCTCAGTTCTCTCTTAATTTATTTTATCACATTTTTCCAACAGATTAATACTTATCAATTAGTGATCTGAGTTAAATTTAATAACTGTGGCAAGTTTCCCAAAAGATGACTGAATTTGACCAAAGTTACAGACGAGGTGCTTACAAAAGAAAGCTTTGGCATAGAACCTTGTTCTGTTGGATTTAACTGAGTATCAACCATTACACTTATAAAATAGCAAACTTTTCAACCTAGAGAAAAAAGTGCATCATCATTATCAACAACTACTACCACCCAACAACTCTGCAGTGATGACCATTTTAAAACTCAAAACATGAATTCTTCATATTGAGTGACATCCAGGCGATTTCTCCCTTGGTTTCCTCCACTATCTGTTATACCAAGACACAAAGGTATTTCAGCTCTAATTATTAGAATTCTTTGCTGTTGGCATCTTGCTGGAATTTTTCTTTTTTCATAAAGAGACTTTCTTCCAAAATATTTTCAGCCTCTTAATCAGCTGTTAGCTGTCAGGAGCACAGCTGTTTCTTCCCCTTCTTCTGAGTTAAGGATTACTCCCCAAGTCAGAAATAAAGAATTCTTAATCACAAAGGACTTGGCATATTTTAGAATATAACAAGACAGCATCATAATTAATTTTTAAAGGATAGAACAAATGCTCTGACAGATTAGCTTGAACAAATGAAAGTTTCTAAGATAGTAAAATTGATTATTTTAGAAACTACTAAATAAGAATTCTCTGTATTTTCCATTTGCTATAACTATCTGTCAAAGTTTGATAAGGCAAACTTTGCCCCAAAGAAGTTGGTAGCTAGTGTGTAAGCAAGAAGTTGCTGTCACAGGTAATGGGAATTTTAATTAGGTTGGGAATAGATGCCTAGGGTTGGGGATAGGCTTTTCTGCCACGTGTAGCATTCTGAAGAAATAACACTGAATTTCTAAGATGCTATTGTCATTACCATTTTCAAGGGGTGGGGGAAGGTGAGAAAGCTCAGAGAAACAAATTCTAAAACATTAATGTTCTCCATAGCTGACAAAATCCAACCACATTCTGGATCAAGTACAATGCAAAATAGTAAGTCACTTTCTGAAACACAAAGAGATTTTAGCTCACAGCAAGAAATAACAGATAATTCTGTAAAACATGCAACAAAAACAGAAAATAGCATGGATGTGTTCATAAAATGTTCTTAATAATTTTCATTAATTGAACTTTGTTTTTCATGCCCTGAGTCTTCAGTTTTAGAGATATAATTTCTGTATTTATTGAATGCTTTGTATATGTGATACACTATAAATGCTTTGTTTACATTATCTCATTTAATTCTTATTTTATTCAGAAATGGAGAAATAAAGCTTAAAGAAATTAAATAACAATTAGTAGGTGGTAAAGCTTAGATTCAAATTCAGTTCTATTTGCTTTTACTTCAGAGAGATTTTAAAATAAGATGTTTACTTTCAGATATAATGGAATAACAGGGACAATATTTATACTCCTACCTGAAGCAACCTCTGCCCCTGCAAAAAAAAAAAAAAAAAAAAAAAAAACACTGAAAAATTTGCAAATATAATGAAAACCATAAATCCAGAGATCCAAGAAGATGAAAAAACCTTAAGCATAAGAAACATGAAGATAATTGCTCCAATGCAAATTGCTTAAAACAAGTGATAAAAGAAAATATTAAAGGCAAGGATAAAAAAGAAACATTACATATGTTTAGCTGTAAAAAGGTAAGCATGATAGCATATTTCTTAACAGAAATAATGCAAGTCAGAAGATAGTAGAGCATCATATTTAAAGTACTGAAAGAAAGAAGTGGTTATTTTAGAATTCTCTATATAGTAAAAATATGTTTTTTAAAAATAAGAAACATTTTTTCAAATATTAAAAAAGCCCAAAGAATTCATAGCCATTAGATCCTCAGTATAAAAAATGTTAAAACAAAAAAGTCCTTTGGACAATGATACTAGATAAAAACCTGCATCCACGTAAGAGAATAAAGAACACTGGAAATAGTAAATATGTGGTTAAATGTAAAATACTTTTTTTGATTTTTGTTCAGTTTGTTTGATCCTTTATTGTTTAAATAGAAATAATGTATTGTAGAGTTTATAACATGTAGAAAGAAAACATCTGATAGAAGTAGCACAAAGTCTGGGAGACAGAAACAGAAGTAAACTGTGAGCTTCTTACATTGTACTTAAAGTGTTATTATATTACTTGAAAGTAGACTGTAGTAAGTTAAAGATCTATGCTATAAAACTAAAAATACCACCACTAAAAGGATAAAAACAAATATGTAAGTCTTTGTTAGTCAATAAACTAACAAAGAGGATAAAGTGCAATCATGAAAAAAATTAATCCAAAAAAGGTAGAAAAAAGAGAGCAAAAATCAGACGAACCAAATAGGAAACAAATAGCAAGATGGTAAATTTAAACCCAAGAATATAAATTATCACGATGAATGTGAATGCTCTAATTTTCATATTAAGAGGTAAGATTGGCAATTTGGATTAAAAAAACAAGGCTAAACCATATATTGTCTGCAAGAAATCCACTTTAAATATAAAGAAATAAATAGAAATAAAATAATGGAAAAAGATGTACTACCGCTAATCAGAAGAAAGCTGGAGTAGTTACGTTAATATCCATTGAAGTAGATTTCTGAACATATAATAAGCCAAATCGTTTATGCATTGAATAACAAAGGTTAATAACAAGTTAATAACAGAGACAAACATTTCAAAATGGAAAAAAAAGCTGATAGAACTTCAAGAAGAAATAGAAAAAATCCTCAATTAGCATCAGAGATTTCAACATTTCGTCTCAATAATTATAGAATAAGTAAATGGAAAATCTACAGGATGTAGAATATTTGAATAACTCCATCAACAAACTTGATCTTTTATTTCTAGAACCCTACACTCAATGAGCAGAATACACATTCTTTTCTAGTGTACCCAATACATTTATTAAACTATATTTGGGATCATAAAACAAGTTTCATTAAATTCAAATCTTATAAAGTATATTCTCTAAAAATAAATTGGGAATCATTAACCAAAAAAATTCCTAAAAAGTTCATAAATATTTGGAAAATGTATAATTCTGCATATCTGATGAGTTAAAGAAGAAATCAAAAGTGAAATCTTTTGAAGGTGAAAACACCACATATGAAAATTTGTAGACTATAGCTAAAGCAGTCATTAGAGAAAATTTTATAGCCAGAAATGTCTGTATTAGAAAAGAAGAAAAGTTGAAATCATTGACCTCTGATTCTATTTTAAGAGACTAGAAAAAAGTGCAAACTAATGCCAAAGTAAACAGATATAAGAAAAATACTATGTGAGCAGAAATAAATTTTAAAAAGAGAAAATCAATGACACCGAAAATTAGTGACACCGAAAGCTAGTTCTTTGAATGAATTTACAAACTTGATAAACCTCTAGCCAGACTGATCAGAAAAAAAGAGAGGAAACACAAATTATCAATATCAGAAATTCTAGAGCTGACATAGATACAGATGCTACCTATATTAAAAGGACAATAAATGAATAGTACAAACAACTTTATGTCCCCAAATTTGATGGTTTAGATAAAATGGACACATTTCTTGAAAGACATAAACTACCAAAGTTCACTCTAGAAGGAACAGGTAGCCAGAATAGGTTTGTGTCTACAAGAGAAATTGAATTTGCTAAAACCTTCCCACAAAGAAAGCTCCAGGCTGAGGCGGCTTCACTAGGCAATTCTACAAACTTTGGAGGAATAAATAATACTAAGTCTACACAAACATAGAAAACTGAAGAAAATGGAACACTTACCAACTTATTCTATGAGAATGGCATTACCCTGATACCAAAACCAGAAAAAGATGTTAGAGGACAAAAGATTACAGACCAATAACCTTCACGAACATAGATGCAAAAACAATTAACAAAATTTTCTAAATAGAATTCATTAACATTTTTTAAAAAGGCAATAAAACTTGATCAAGTGAGGGTGATCCTGGGAATGCAAGTTTCATTTAACATTTGAAAATCAATCAGTGTAATTTATCATATTAATAAAAATGCATATGGTTAAATTGATAGAGACTGGAAAAGCCACTGACAAAATTAAATATTATCCCTGATAAAAATTCTCTGAAAACTGTGAATGAAAAGGATATTTCTCAACCTGATGAAAGGATCTATGAAAAACCTACAGCTATATCACCCTTAATACCAAAAGTCTGAGTGCTTTTTTCCTAAGATCAAGGCAAGGGTATTCTCTTTAATCCCTTCTGTTCAACATTATACTAGCAGTTCTAGCCAATGCTATAAGGAAAGACAAAATAAAATAAGTCAAAATTGAAATGGTAGAAGAATAAAATTCAGTTTTATTTCTACATAAAGTTGGAAGACTTACAATGTCTGTTTTTCAAGACTTATTACTTACAGGAATCAAATAATGTGGTATTGGCATAAGAATAGAGAACTAGATCAATGGAAAGGCATAAAGAACCCAGAAACAAGCTCAAAATACATGGTGAAATGATTTTCAACAAAGACAATTCTATGGATAAAGGATAATAATTTCAATAAATGATGCTGGAATAATTGGAAAGCCATCTGTAAAAAAATGAAATTTGACTATACATTGCAACATGTAAAAAATTAACTTGAAATGGTCCCTACACTTAAGTGTAAAACCTGAAAAACATAGAACAACTGGAGATAAACATATTTAGAAGTCTTTGTGGTCTTGGGTTAGATCATGAGTATTTAAACACAACATCAAAAATACAATGCAAAAAGAAAAAAGTGATATATTGACCTGTATCACAATTTAAAACATTATTTATGGACTGGGAAAATATATTTGCAAATTACATTTGTTAAAGCACTTATATCCAGAGTATTAAAAGAACTCCAAAATATGATAATAAGACAGCAAATGGCCCAATTTTTAAAAGCCAAAAGATTTAAACAGATCATTTACCGAAAGACATATGGATGGAAAATAAACATATGAAAATATGCTCAACATCATTAATCATCAGGGAAATATAAATTAAAACCACAGTTAGACACCACTACACACCCACTGAAATGACTCTAATCAGCAAGACAGACAATAGAGTTGGTGATGATGTGGAGAAACTTGAACTTTGTTATTGCTGGTGGGGTTTAAAATAAAACAGTTTGGCAGTTTCTTAAAAATGTAAACATTGATCTACTGCAAGTTCCAAACATTCCCCCAGGAGAAATGAAATTGTGTGTCCACACATAGACTTTTACATGAATGTTCTTAGCAACTTTATTTATAATAGCTGAAAATTGGAATCAACCCAAATGTCCATTGCTATGTGGACATTTGCTATTATATGTACATATTTGCTATTATATGTCTTTATAATGTAATACTACTCAGCAATAAAAAGGAACAACTATTAGTCTATGCAGCAACATAGATGATTATCAGAATTGTTATGCAGAGTGGAAAAAGTTAGACAAATAATATCGTAAAAAATGCAAACTAATCTCGTGACAGAAAGCAGAAATAGTGATTATCTCTAGAAAGGGATCAGGGAGTGGGGAGGTACAGGTGGGAGGGATTAAAAAGTAGCATAGGCCAGGCACAGTGGCTCACGCCTGTAATCCCAGCACTCTGGGAGGCCAAGGCAGGCGGATCACGAGGTCAAGAGATTGAGACCATCCTGGCCAACATGGTGAAACCCCATCTCTACTAAAAATACGAAAAAGTTAGCCGGGCATGGTGGTGCGTGCCTGTAGTCCCAGCTACTCAGGAGGTTGAGTCAGGAGAATCGCTTGAACTCAGGAGACGGAGGTTGCAGTGAGCTGAGATCAGGCCACTGCACTCCAGCCTGGCGACAGAGTGAGACGCTGTCTCAAACAAACAAACAAACAAACAAACAAAAACTTAGCATGAGGACACTTTTGAGAGTGATTTATTGCCTTGATTCTGGTAATGGTTTCATGAGTATACATGTATCATAAGATATTACATGGCACATTTTAAATATGTGGAATTTCTGATATATTTATTATATTAAATAAAGCCAAGATAAATGTATGAGAGACAAATCTATATTACTCTATTTAATTTATTTGAAAATCTTGAATTATATCCTTAGGTATGTTTGACTTGAGTTCCCTCGTGTCTGTAACTATAACTGCTTGAAACTCCATTGAAAACACTGGACAGAGCAGCACATCAAAAAACTTACCCACCACAATCAGGTTGGCCTCATCCCTGGGATGCAAGGCTGGTTCAACATACACAAATCAGTAAATGTAATATATCACATAAACAGAACCAATGACAAAAACCACATGATCATCTCAGGAGATGCAGAAAAGGCCTTTGATAAAATTCAAAGACCAATGGAACAGAACAGAGACCTCAGAAATAACACCACAAATTTACAATCTCTTGGAATCAGGCAAGAGAAATAAAGTGTATTCAGATAGGAAGAGAGGAAGTCAAATGGTCTCTGTTTGCAGATGACATGTTTCTATATTTAGAAAACTCCATCATCTCAGCCCCAAAACTCCGTAAGCTGATAAGCAACTTCAGCAAAGTCTCAGGATACAAAAGCAATGTGCAAAAATCACAAGCATTCCTATACTCCAATAGTAGACAAGCAGAGAGTGAAATCATGAATGAACTCCCATTCACAATCGCTACAAAGGGAATAAAATACCTAGGAATACAGCTAACAAGGGATGTGAAGGACATCTTCAAGGAGAACTACAAACCACTGCTCAAGGAAATAAGAAAGGACACAAACAAATGGAAAAATATTCCATCCTCATGGATAGGAAGAATCCATATCATGAAAGTGGCCATACTCCCCAAAGTAATTTATAGATTCAGTGCTATTCCCATCAAACTAAGCAAAAAGAACAAAGCTGGAGGCATCACGCTACCTGACTTTAAACTATACTACAAGGCTACAGTAACCAAAACAGCATGGTACTGGTACCAAAACAGAAATATAGACCAATGGAACAGAACAGAGACCTTAGAAATAACACCACACATTTACAACCATCTGATCTTCAACAAACCTGACAAAAACAAGCAATGGGGAAAGGATTTTCTATTCAATAAATGATGCTGGGAAAACTAGATAGCCATATGCAGAAAACTGACACCCCCTCCTTACACCTTATACAAAAATTAACTCAAGATGGATTAAAAACTTAAACGTAAAACCCCAAATGATAAAAACTCTAGGAGAAAACCTAGGCAATACCATTCAGGACATAGACATGGGCAAAGACTGCATGGCTAAAACACCAAAAGCAATTACAACAAAAGCCAAAATTGACAAATGGGATCTAATTAAACTAAAGAGGTTCTGCACAGCAAAAGAAACTATCATCAGAGAGAACAGGCAACCTACAGAACAGGAGAAAATTTTTGCAATCTACCCATCTGACAAAGGTCTGATATCCAGAATCTATGAGGAAGTTAAACAAATTTACAAAAAACCCACAAACAATTCCATCAAATGTGGGCAAAGTATATGAACAGACACTTCTCAAAAGAAGACATTTATGTGGCCAACAAACATGAAAAAAAGCTCAAGACATCACTGATTTTTTGAGTCTTGAGAAATGCAAATCAAAAACCACAATGAGATACCATCTCACACCAGTCAGAATGGTGATTATTAAAAACTCAAAAAAACAACAGATGCTGACAAGGCTGTAGAGAAATAGGAATGCTTTTACACTGTTGGTGGGAATGTAAATTAGTTCAACCATTGTGGAAGGCAGTGTGGCGATTCCTCAAGGATTTAGAACCAGAAATACCATTTGACCTGGCCATCCCATTACTGTGTATATACCCAAAGGAATATAAATCATTCTACTATAGAGACACATGCACATGTATGTTTATTGTGGCACTATTTACAATGGCAAAGACATGGAAGCAACCTAAATGCACATCAGTGATAGACTGGATAACAGAGACATACACCATGGAATACTATGCAGCCATGGAAAAGAATGAGATCATGTCCTTTGCAGGGACATGGATGAAGCTGGAAGCCATCATCCTCAGCAAGCTAACACAGGAACAGAAAACCAAACACCACATGTTCTCACTCCTAAGTGGCAGTTGACCAACAAGAACATATGGACACAAGGAGGGGAACGTCACACACTGAGGCCTGTTGTGGGGTGGGGTGCTGAGGGGAGGGAACCTAGAGGATGGGTGAATAGGTACAGCAAACCACCATGGTACTTGTATACCTATGTAACAAACCTGCACATTCTGCACATATATCCCAGAATTTAAAGTAAAATTAAACAAAATAAAAATTAATAAAATAATTTTTTTTTAAAAAAAGCACTGGACAGAACAATGAGAACTAGCACCAATTCCAAACATTGTCAGTACCAGAGCAAGAATATTCAAGAACATGTTCAGTTGTTTGGACAGCCACTCTTTCTGGTTTGTTAAAGTTATGAGTGCCCATCCTTAAACTTACTAGGCTTTAGATCATAATTATTTTTAAAATAATTACAGAAGCCAAGATATCAAGAGAAATCATTTTTAAATAATTGTAGTTACTCACTTAAAATGGACATTATACAACTTTGAATCTTCACCTTATAAAAACCTTTTTGAAGAATGTTTTCAGAGACAAAATTGTGTAATGGTTTTTTTTTTTTTTTTTTTTTGGGTCAAAGAGAAGGAATCTTATATTTAGGACCCATGGCAGTCCAATTTCTACCTCTGATTCATTGTAACCAGGAGCAAGTTTCTCAGACATCTCCAAGACACACCAAACTCTTGTATGTAGTGCTTTCCTCCTTCCTGCACAAACAAACCACAGTGTGTGGATAAAACTCTAGACTGGGATTAAGAAACATGCCTCTGGATCAACTGTGTCCACTTCTGCAAAGGACTGTTATACAATCACAAGAAGAAAACAGAGACCAATATTTCCTCATATTTTAACTGATTGTTGACATTTTGTGTTCCTAGGGTTTACTGAGACATAAAAAATTATGTTTAAAATTGCTTTTTGATGATTATTAAATTTAAAATATAGATCTTCACCTGATAGCTGGCTACGAGTGACCGGAAGACCTGAATCAGATTTTGGACATCTTGCCAGAGACCATGATATTTGCTGGTCTTAGCAGAGAGATCCCACAATAAAATTGGCCACACCCACTAGGTCCAATAGCAATTTTCATGGGAAGGTTATGTCAGTTACCTTAAAATAGTACTTACTTCTTCAGTGTGAGTGCAGATACCCAGGAATCCTGTAAACATGCAGATTCAGGTTTCGTATGGAGAGGACTGACATTCTGAGTTGCTATTGAACTTGCAGCTGATGTCATTGCTGCTGGTCAGTGAATCACATTTTGAGTAGCAAGGTCTCAGATTTTTGTTGGACTGTTCCTGAGATGTGAGGAATTGTTGTTCTGTCTCAAAGAGCAGCCATAAAAATCGTGGACCTGAAATTGTCTGTGGCAGTTAGGATTAGGATTAGCTCTAGGTGCCTATTAGTGGCTTAGACAAGATAATTTCTTTCATGAGGTAAGGAGTCCAGGCCTGGTATGGTGGCATCATTGCATCAAGACCCATGATCTTTCTCTCTTGTTGGTCACTCATATTTAGTATATCACTTTAGGGTCCAAGATGACTGTTTGTCAGCTGCTTAATTTTAATTGAGTCAGCAAGAACACTGAGGTAGCAGAAAAGGCTGTGACTTACAGCTTTAGTGATAAGTCTTGGAAGCTACGTAGATAATTTCTATTTACATCTTACAGGTGAAGTGGTCTCATAGCCACACCTAGCTGCAAGGGAGACTGGGTAGCAATGTGCTCATCTGCAAAGTGAAATTCTTTTTCAAGACAGGAGGTTGGACTTTGGGAGGCAACTAGCAGCCTCTGCTACAGTGTTTGTGAACTGATTTTGGTTAAAAGGACTGCAATTCTCAATGATGCATTACAGCTCAGTTCAGCAATGAGCCATGTAACCTTGGACTTAACCTATATAGAGCTTAGTTTTTAGGTTTGTAAAATAAGGGGCTTACACCAGGACTGAAATAGCAGGAAAGCTGTAGAGAGAGCAGTGGAGCAGTCTCTGACAGTTAAAACATACCTAAGAAACATATCTGTCTTGCCAGGCAAGAACAATCTCTACTTCCACATATACTCAGGCTTATAGGTTACAATTTCATCATCTTCCCTCTCTTATTCTCCCGTCCAGCCTGCCCTCAATGTGCAATATAGTTTATGTGGAAATTATTTCCCATTATGGCTCTATTTCTTTTCTTCAATAGGGACAACACTTTCAAAATATTTAATAAGTAGCAGTTAAAGAATAACATCAATGAAAATTTTTTAAATGTTTTTTTTTCCAGAAATTACTGCTGATGTTTACTTAAATAGGGTACCTATTTCCAATTCTGACTTTAATAGTTTCTTAAAAGAGTGAAGGACATCTGTACAGCTTCTGAGGAATACAAGAAAGTATGTATATTTTTGTCAGATGACATCATCTCTTTTGACTAAGTGAAAGGAGAAGGTGCACAAGTATTGAGGATCTTATTTAGCTTTTGAAAGTTAAGGAAGCGGATTCAAAAGAATATATGTTTGTTGTACAATTTAAGGGAGTCTTTTAAAAGGAGAAAAGAAATCATGGTGTGAAGGTTTACTGTATGTTTTGCATTAAACCATAAAGCATTCCATAAGATTCATGGGGTCTGTGAAATACTATATTCTAACCAGAAAGTACCCATGCCTAATCCTGTTTAAGCTACTATCGTTGGATGTGTAAGACCCTGATGGTTTATACATATGAACAACCATGTGTAAAGTCTGTAACAATCTACATGAAGGCATTTTACTGACCAATTTCATCCTCTTATATAAAGGAAATTGGACTCTAGGGGCGTGTATATTTATTAAATTCCATTTCCCTCACTTGCTCATTAAAAATCTGTCCTTCTTTTTAAATAATTCCCTTGTATAAAACTAGAAACTAAGGAAGCATACTTTTAAATTGTAGACTTTTCTGTTTTTCAGCATTTTGAGGAACAATAAGTCTCAAAATTACAAGAACTCCCATAACTTTAGAAAATACAAATACAGATGTTAGCATAATTTGAGGTAATAGTAGATATATTATTTAATTTTATTAAGTTTCTCTGACCTCTCCAAGACCCACCGAACTTTTATATGGAGCTCTTGCCTCCTTTCTGCACAAATAGTATTGTAGAAAATTCAGACTAATCTAGCTGCAGTGTGTGGGAAACACTTCCTTTTAACCACTATTATCATTCAGGGTCCAGCTAGGAGACAGAAAACACACAGTAATCTGAATAATTAATGTTTCTTATAGAGCATTATTAATTAGTAGTTAGGGATTAATTACTAAGCGGTAAAGAGAACTTCTAGGAATACAGGAACAGGAGAGAATGCAGTCACTGATGCCATGGCTAAGTCCAAGTACCGACGGGAAGGACTGAATCTGGAAGCGGCCCCTGCCTCCATGCTGAGATTCAGTCCTGTTGGAGAGGGCATGGCTGCAGCCCACTGGATGGAGGAGAAGCTCCCTGAAGTGGGATCGTAGGACAAACAGGAAACTTCTTGCTGGGATGCCAGTGAAACTTACTGGGAAATCATCTAGAACACAGGCAGAACACTGTAGGAAACCATTCAATGAGGTGCCTGCCAGACTTTCTGGGTTGCTGGCTGGGGTACCAGTTGAACTTGCTAGCAAGCTGCCTGCAGGATTGCTGCTGGATTGCTAGGTAACCGAGCTACCAGCGTCCCACATGCTGGCGGACACTGCAGGAGCCAGAAGGGAGGAAACACTGAGTGAGGAAGAGAAATCCTTTTCTTCTCCACTGTTCCACTGTCACCCTCTACTGATAATACTTACAACTGTGCCAGTCGACAAACGGAGTCGACAAAAGGAGAAATGTTTAGAGGGTCCAGCTGCAGTATCACAAGGCAGTACAATGAGGGATTTGGACTTGAGGAGCAATAAATTGATAGCTGGCACAAAACTATGTTTTTTTTTAATTTAAGTAACTGAAGACGAATTTGTATTATTACAATGGAAAAGTATGACACTTGTTCTGGCTCTAATCTGGTTATGGCTATGGAATAGCCATAACCAGTGTTGTTTGGGAAATTAATACTAGTCTAAATAGATTCATGGAAACATACCATAATTTATAGGGGAAAGTCTATGGGATCAAAGCATTTTAATAAAATTAAAGTCTTTTAATCTGAAAGATTGTCCAATCCCTCATTCTAGAAAGTAGAGGAAGACTGAAACCTAGAAGAATTAAATGACTAATTTAAGCCTGAAGAATTAGTTAGTGAAAGAGATAACTGATTTGTTCAATGAATATTTATTTATTGGGTGCTACCGGGTGCTATTGGTCCAATGTGCAGAAGATACAGCAATGAACAAAATGGAGTCACTTCCTGCACTCAAGGAGCTTACATTTTGGTAGAGGGCATGAGACAATAAACTGAGAAGCAAATAAATACATAATAATTTGGGTATTAAAGGTGCTATGACAAAAAAAAGCAGGGTAAGAAGATAGAAAATAATAAGTGGGATGGTGGGGGAGGTTGTGCTGTTTATATTGGTGGCATTTAAGCAGAAACTTGAACGTTCTCTTAACTTCCAATTCAAAACATTCAAATATCATATTTAATGTTTTTCTAATTATATTTGTATCTTTTGTATTTGTATCCATGTTTTTCTGAATGAGAATACATTTGTATACCTTTAGGAATCAAGGTTGTACAATGCCGCAGTTTCTTTCCTCTCTTCTTTTTATAAAGGGGACTACAGTTATCTGTTTTCACAGTGTTTCTGTTGGACACACCTCAGGAAGCTAGGCAGATGTTACTTACAGGAAACCTGGTTAAAATGGGCACAAGTTATATACTCTGCCTTTTCAAAACTCAGACTGACCACATATTTTGGCAAGTTTCAACTGGTTACTAGATTTCTGGCTGTTCAGATACTGTACATCTCCTAAGGGCAATGTTGAAAATGCTGAAAATCATTCAACAGTTAGAGCCCCACATAAGATGATATTTCAGCACTGAGATATTTCTTAATTATATGTGTTTCCACTGTATGTGTAAATAGGGAATAAAAGTTGCTGAAATGCCATTAACAATAGCTGTGGAAATTTTGCTGTTTTGAAACTATATGCACAGAAAGAGAGTGGAACATTTCATGGTCAATAGGCAATCAGGCTATTTCCTGACACACAGAGCTGACTTGAAGGTCATATAATTCATATTACTGTCAGACTTCTAAAATGTTGTCTTAAATAGGCAGTGGAATCACAGAGATACAATGGAGTTTTCCTAGCTGGAAGAAAAAATTCTTCATTTTAAGTATTGTGAAAATGTCACCAAATTTTAATTTGATTTCAACTGGACCTTTTGCAATATAATTAGAAAATATAGGACTAATCTGTATTTCCTTATAGCTGGTCATTTATCCTGTATAGCTCTTTTGGTTTGTAACTCCACTAATCAATGTAAAATGAATTACATTGAAGTTTTAATGTGACAAAAAATTGGTGATTTCAAGAGATCACATTAAAATTCTGCGTGAGTTAATACAAAATTTAAAATATCTCATTGGTTATTAAAATCACTTTGCTGAATTGTGTATAGATAAATGAATACATCTGTTAAATTTAGTTGAAATTGCAATACAAATGGAAATATTTTAAAGGTGCTTATTACCTTGTTTATATCTCTATTTTAGAGAGACATTTTGTCGTTAATTTAGCACGCTATGTGGAAGAAGACTAAACTTTGAAAGAAAATCACTACAAAATTCAAAGCACTATATCATGAGAATAAAAACTAAAAATTCTAAAGTTTTTTTAAATATCTCTTAACTCCTGTGGACATAAAAGTTGGACTCATGTATCTCAGTGTTTACCTTACAAAGATCAAAAGAACAAAAACTCAGATGACAATCATATATTCTTCTCTAACTAAAAAAAAATACTTGCAGTGTAAGAAAAAGCGTAAAGAGACTACCCAAAACCTGCCAATTATAATTCTCTCTTGTGTCTCTTCTTAGTAAGTTTTTGGTTAGTTTTTTGAAGCAAATCAGGTGATAATTAAATGTGCCTGGAGGACCCCTGAAAACATCCAGTTATTATCCTCACGGACAACTTTCCCCCCAGTTATATGATGAGAGCCAACCACTGGGCCATGGATTTATGTTGGCCACATAAAGGGGAAAAAATATTTTGTAAAGAGCAATGAATGAAAAGGGACAAAAGTTTTAAACAAGTTCCTTATCTCCTTTTAGTCCTCGGATACCTTATGTTGAATAGCCAGATCATTTTATTATTGCAAATGCCATGGCTGTAATCTTTTATTGCCTGCAGTACAGGCCTACAGCATTAAGTTAGTATAAAATTACATATAGTTTAATATATCTGTACAACACCTTTAAACAAGCTTCTCTAGGCAAGAAGGTTATCCGTCTTATAAATCTATTATTCCATTGTACATCTTGATAGCCTAGCATTGCTCCTAGCCATGTTTAAGCATTAAATAGTGCATTATTATTTCACATAAATCAACCAGAGATGTGTGAATTCATAAATTTTGCATTTGCACAGACAGTATTTTAAACGTTTTACTGCTTCGTGGGAACTCAGAGCACCAGCCTGTACACAAATCAGGACCTGAGAAATTTCAATAAAATTTAATATCACAATTACATCTTCTCAAAGTCAAAGCAGGCATGTTTTGGAAGTATTTTAACTGAGTCCAAAAATGAAAGTAAATGTTAAGAGTGACTTTTTTGTTGGCATTTAGTCAGCTATTGTTATAACAAGCTAATAAGCACTTTACTTTTAAAATTCTTTATAGCCAAATGGTATAGAGAAAAGGTTTTATCCAAATTTGAGATGAAGGAAAAATATATGAAGATTTTAGTAATTATCTGTAATTTATTAAAAGTAACAAAGATGGAAAGTAATATAGGATTGATAAGTTTATGTTACATTTAAAATGTAGCTTTACAGTTGAACCTGAAATAAGTCATTAAAAATTTCACACTTTAGGCTCTAAGTTACCTGAGGGTAAGAAGCAGCCTTTTTTGGGGGTTTCTAGGTGATTATCTTTGATTTGTAAGAAAACTGTATTCTCTTTCTTATTCCTAGGCATTTTGGGGAGTTGGTAACGTTTACTGTTTCTTCAAAGTTTTAATTATTTTTCTCAGAAATTATTTTTTTAAGGTTTCACTTAGTAAGAATTGGCTATGAAATTTAATGCATGGGAGTTGTGTGTTTAGGGAAGATTTCTGCTTTCGTATGTGTGGGGTGAAAATTACATTCCTGTTGCAGTGATTTCTAATGCATATAATTAACTGCACAAATGCCACACTAATTTTAAAATGGCATATTTATCACCTAGAAACAGGTGATGTAGAAAGATAAATTGCTGTAAACATAGAACTTGCTTCCAATTACGGTCAAATTCTGGGCAGACAGCTGAAAGGATAGGAGAGAAAATTTTAAAAATTCTGCCCAATTTTTTGAATTTTTCTCAACTGAGACTCTGCCATTATTAATAGGTAACTTCTGGGTGACGAAGTGAAAAAGGATAGGTAAAAACAGTATTCTACCATGGACCTTTCCTTCTGGAGTGAGTGATTTTTTAATGATGAGGATTTGCTACATTGGGAAAGCAGTTTCTGTTTTCCTTTATAAACTGTAGATATTTTCTCTACCATTCTGAACACTGCCCTTTCTTTCCTGATGAACTAAAAAGCTCAAACCTAAGGTTAACAGTACCAGATTCTTATTTGGAGATTAGTGTCTTTAGAACGATAAGCAAAAGACAGACACAGGGAGCCTTTAGACCCCTACAGCTGATCAGAGTAATGACACGCATTGCCAGACACGGCCGGCTTGTACTGTTAAAGAAAGCAGATCTAGTTACCATCCATAAAAAAACTAACGGAAGCATCTCTCTTATTCTGATGAATGTTGAAAACCAAGTGGCTTAAATAAAAGAAACAGCAACATACACTTTTTTAATGGTGATTTTTGACTATTTAGCATTCACTGCTTTGGGATCCATTTCCTTTTTGATAGTGTTGCTATCCCTGGCTTCCGTGTGTGTGTGTGTGTGCGCGCGCGCGTGTGTGTGCGTGTGTGGGTGTGTGTGTGTGAGAGAGAGAAAGTTTTATCTTGCTGTGTGTGAAAGTTTTATCTTATTGTGTGGACCTTGACTATCAAGATATAAGGACAAAAATGATTTATTATAGAAATTACATTTTCTGAGCTGAGCCAGAAGGCACTCTTTACTTTAGCTCTTGTATAAGCAAGACTTAGTGTTATGTATATATTTTATGTGTATATATGTGTATATAATGTTTACTTAGCAATGTATATATTTATGCCACACAAGTGGCCCATGCTACCATTACGTAAATCCCTCTGTTTTTCAAAGACTATATGGCTGAGGAAGGAGCATGTGGAAACAAACATGTTTAAAAATTCTCAGTGTATGTCAATGCCATTTAAATAAATATATGTTTTTTTCTCATAACACTAACTTTACTGGTTAGAGCGGAAATTACAAGAAAAAATGGACAATGAATACAGGCATATTTAATGTTATTGCACTTTGCAGATATTGTGTTTTTACAGTTTGAAGGTTTGTGGCAAACCTGCATCAAGCAAATCTATTGGTGTCATTTTTCTGACAGCATGTGTAAATTTTGTGTCTCTATTATATTTTGGTAATTATAGTAATATTTCAAAATTATTATTATTATTATATCTGTGATGGTGATCTGTAATCACTGATTTTGATGTTGTTATTATAATTGTTTTGGAGTGCCATGAACTGTGCCCATATAAGATGGTGAACTTAATCAATGCTATGTGTGTTCTGACTGTTTCACTGACTGAGTATTCCCCCATCTCTCTCCCTCTTCTTGTGACTTCTTACTCCCTGAGACACAATGATATTGAAATTAGGACAATTAATAACCCTACAATGGCCTCTAAGTGTTCAAATGAAAGGAAGGAAGAGTCTCACATCTCTCACCTTACATCAAAAGCTGCAAATGATTAAGCTTAGTGAGGAAGGTGTGTTGGAAGTTGAGAAAGGGCGAAAGCTAGGCCTCATATAGCAGTTAATCAAGTTGTGAATGCAAAGGAAAAGTTCTTGAAGGAAATTATAAAAGTGCTACTTCAGCGAACACATGAATGATAAGAAAGTTAAACAAGCTTATTGCTGATATGGGGAAAGCCTGAGAGGTGTAGATAGATCAAACCAGCTACAACATTCCCTTAAGGCAAGCCTAATCCAGAGGCCCGAACTCTCTTCAATTCTGTGGAGGTTAAGAGACGTTAGGAAGTTTCAGAAGAAAGATATGAAGCTAGCAGAGGTTGGTTCACAAGGTTTAAGAAAAGAAGACGTCTCCATAACATAAAAGTAAAAGGTGAAGCAGTAAGTGTTGATGTAGAAGCTACAAGTTATCCAGAAGATCAGCTAAGATCACTGGGGAAGGTGACTGCATTAAACAGCAGATTTTCAATGTAGACAAAACAGCCTTATATTGGAAAGAGATGCCATCTAGGACTTTCATAGCTAAAGAGGAGAAGTCAATGCTTGGCTTCAAAGCTGCAAAGGACAGGCTGACTTTCTTATTATGGGCGAATGCAGCTGATCACTTTAAGTTGAAGCCAATGCTCACTGACCATTTTGAAAATCTTAGGGACCTTAACAATGATGCTAAATCTACTCTGCTTGTGCTCTGTAGATGAAACAACACAGCTTGGATGACAGCACATCTGTTTATAGCATGGTTTACTGAATATTTTAAGCCCACTCTCAAGACCCACTGCTCAAAAAAATGCCTTTTAAAATATTAATAGCAGTAGCTCTTTGACAGTGCACCTGGTCACCTAAGAGTTCAGATGGAGATGTACAAGGGGATTCATGTTGTTTTCGTGCCTGCTAACACAGCATCCATTCTGTGGGTGAAATGCTATCAAAGAGCATCTCATGCTACAGAGACATTTTTTTGTGAAAGGAAGAGTCAGTGTGGCAAATTTCATTGTTGTCTTATTTTAAGAAATTGCCACAGTAACTCCAATCTTTAGCAAGCGCCACCGTGATCAGTCAGCCACGAATGTCAAGGCAAGACCCTCCACCAGCAAAATGATTATGACTTGCTGAATGCTCAGATGATTGTTGGCATTTCTTAGCAATATTTTAAAATTAAGGTCTACATACTATTTTGTTAAACATAGCTATTACACACTTAATAGACTATAGTGTAAACATAACTTTTATATTCACTGGGAAACCAAAGGTCCCATGTGACTTATTTAATTGCAATATTCCCTTATTGCAGTGGTTTAGACTACAAACCTGTAATAACTCTGAGATATGCCTACATGTTGAATTCTAAGACAAAATGAATTTGTTTCATCTTTTTAAGTAAAAAATTTGGCTGCAAACTAAATGTTTCTATTTCAAATGAAAATAATGGATTATTTTGTTTTCTACCCTCATGGATTCAATTTCTATTGGGTAAACCACAATGACATTTTAAAATAAACTTTAGCATATCATAGAGAGCACTGTCTTTGTGTTTTATTGTTTTCTCTTCTGTTTGCATGTTTACTAATTCACCTCCAAATATTTTGGCTAAGGAGAAATCAAGACAGCAGGCCAAAACTAAACCAATAATTGGTTAGTCTTAATTTTCCAAGTTTTGCCTCTCTTTATTTTGTTAGACATGTTCATTAAAAATATATTGTAAGCTGTTAGAATGAAAAATTCCATGTCCTGGACATCATTCATATCCTCAAATGAGCTATATATTTATAGACCTTACAGTTTTATTAGAATGTGTGCAACTAGGTAATAGGAATGTGATATTGCTTTTTATTAAAAACCAAATACCATATTTTATAATTAAAACTGGCTACAATAGGAAGGGATGCAGTCTGATTTTCTGTTTTTGTGATGAGTTGTCACGGAGCTGCTTATATATGCTGAGAAGCAATATGGCATAGTAGAGAGAACACAAACTCTAGTGTTACAATTCCTTGGTTGGTGAACTAACTCTGTCATCTGACTTTCTCATCCAGAGATGGCTTACTGTCCATCAGTCTTTCATGCCACTTTTCATATCATAGAGTGGTGACTGGCAAGTATGTTCCCTGCCAGAGCCCATGCCCCCATGTCCCTCTACCTCTTGCATAGAACTGCAACCACAAGACTATGGAATGTGAACAGAACTGATGGATGTCTTTTCTGGGCCAAACCAGTTAAGACGCAGGTATGTATGCTCCCATTTTCTTCGTGTTTTCCTGAAGGCAGAGGATTTTGAGGCCTTAGAGGAGGGCAGAACCACAAGACACAAAAAGTCAT
This sequence comes from Homo sapiens, assembly GCF_000001405.40. Lineage (NCBI taxonomy): Eukaryota > Metazoa > Chordata > Mammalia > Primates > Hominidae > Homo > Homo sapiens. The sequence goes on from NC_000006.12 coordinate 8,534,490, forward strand.
GAATATCTGTGTTGAAAGGGGTCACTGACCATTGACCACAGTTATGAGTTCTGAAATGATAGCATGTTACAGCAGCTAACACTACTGTGCAAACTAATATGTACAATGTAAATCTTGGCATTGTTTTTTTTTTCATCTCTTAAATGTAACAAGAATCTGCAATATAAATAAATGCAAAATGAGGAGGCCTACCTCACAGAGTTGCTAGGAGCCTCAAATGAAAAAGTGTTATCACAAGTGTTTCATAGTGCTAACCAGATGTACAGAATTTGCCATAATTTCTTATTCTCTCACTTGGTTTCCTAGGAACAAATCATATTGCACCTATGAGCTGGTATGGAAGTGTATTGACACTATATTCTGCAACATTGTAAGAAATTGCTTACAGCTTTTTTTGCTCAACATACTTTGAATCCTCTCCTCTCCTTACTGTGTTGTGAGGAGTAATCAATGTAGTATGGCTTTTTCTGTTTCACCACTTTTATGGGCAAATATTTCATGTCAGACATTGTACTGTGTTATGTCATTTTGTCATCACAACAGCAAGAGGTGGGTGCGTTATTCCTTTTTACACATGAGATGTTAAATATCTGAAAGATTAAGTGAACTGCCCAGAGTCATGTGGCTAGGAAATGGTACCACTGAGATTCAACTTGGTTCAGTTTGACTCCAATGACATGACTTACAATCACTGTATTCTCATCTACTAAGTAATTCATGTAGTTTGCCCCTTGAATCCAAAGGAATGGAAACTTCAAAAACCTTCTCTTAACCCAGGTTCTTCAGAAAACAGAGTCTGAGGCTATGATTACACTACTGGCACCTGATTTGGAAGATGAAAACTCAGGCAAAATGATGAGAATGAGAAAAAAGCGGAAGGGAGAGAAATGAAGCAAGGAGCAATGGGAAGCAATGTGAATGGGTTGTGACCACACTTGGCTCTTGCTTCAGAACATGCTACAGAGAGACACAGTAGGCTGCTTGGCAAATGTGTTGGCCTAGCCCAAGGTTTATCTCCAGACTGGTTGCAAGGAGAATTCATATCACTAAGTAGCTGCAGGAGTGAGGAAAGGGTGGGAATACAGCTGCCTGCATCTCCCCTTCTTCCCTCATTTCCTGTTGTTCAAAGTTCTTCTCACAGAGAGGAGTTAACTTCTTGGTCTTTTTGAGTTGCGTAATCTGGCCTGTTGGGTGGTCACTCAAGATGCCAGATCTCACATCTTGTGTGGATGTGGTGATTCAGCCAAGTCCGGGAATGACTTATAGGCATGGATCTACAGTGACAGCTAATGGATAGAGCCTGGCACACCCAAAACTGCTATCCGGAAGGCCCAGGCATGATTTGAATTGCAGGGTCTGAGTGGAGGAAGCTGCTAAGAGTCTGGAAATTGGGAACTGTGAAGGAAATATGAGGAGACACCTAAGATGGGTCTGACAGAACCTTTAAATGATTCATTCAGTTAATATTTATTGAATGCCAAGGGTATGCCCGGCACTGTTATAGGTGATGGAGAAACATCAGTGAAAGAAAACAAAGTTAAAAAGTCTTTGCTTTCATGAAGCATATATTCTAGTAGGGAAGAAAGAAAAAATGTAAGATGTATAAGTACAATATATGGCATGTTGGAGTCAGATCAAGCTGGAACATGGATATGAAATGTTTAGAATAGAGAGTAGTCAAGAGATTCTTTATTGCAAAGATCACTTTTGAGTAAGACCTAACAGAATGGAAGCACAACCATGACAATATTTGGACATGAGCAAGTGCAAAGGTTCTGATTATGGAGTGTGTGGGCACATTCCTGCAACAGCAAGGAGGCGAGTGAGGGAGGAGAGGAGCTTGTTATGAGGAGAATCATATGAGCAAATGTCTGGATGATGTTGACTCATGTAGGTAATTATAGGGACTTCATATTTTTTATTAGTTATGCATTTTGACTGACTCATTTATGCATCACAACAATGGAAAGATGGACAGCATTATTCCCGTTGTATGGATGAGCAAACTGAGCCTCATGCCGGTCAAGTGAAGGATCCAAAGTCCTATCTAGCAAAAGATCACAAAGTGATTACTAGAAACTTCATTATTGGGAGGAAACACACCTGTCAAAGGAAATCCACTCAGTTCCAACTAGCTTTCAGAATCGAAATGCCTAAGTATGATCAGTAACCAGGAATGATGACAACTTCCATGAAAAGCTGTTTATATTTATTCCTTGCAACAGTCCTCTGAGATGGGTACTGTCACTATTTTCATTTAACGGATGAGGAAATTGAGATATTTTAGTAACTTACCCAAAGTAAAAACATTGGAACGTGACAAATTAGGAATGGAACATATGCATTCTGCTTTTAGAAACTGTGCTATGTCTACAAGGACACCATTGCCTTTACAAATTCTTTAGTTAATGTTATTGTATGTCATATTTTTTCCCAGAGTCCTTCCTAGTCTTTCTTCCTTTTCAGTTTTAAAAAATAATCATATAATTCCTGGTCCTTTTCAGATAATTACTTTTTCTTTCCCCTTGAGACAGAGTCTCTCTCTGTCTTGCCCAGACAGGAGTGCAGTGATGCGATCTCGGCTCATTGCAGCCTCTGCCTCCTGGGTTCAGGCAATTCTCCGGTCTCAGCCTTCCAAGTATTTGGGACTACAGGCATGTGCCACCATGCCTAGTTAATTTTGTATTTTTAGTAGAGACTGGGTTTCACCATGTTGGCCAGGCTGGTCTCGAACTCCTGACCTCAGGTGATCTAACTGCCTCGGCCTCCCAAAGTGCTAGGATTATAGGCATGAGCTACTGCGCCTGGACTCATACTTTATTTTTTAATCATATCTCTAAGGCTGTGACAAAATGTCTTCATCTTATTTTTTTTCTAATTTTTTCCCAACATTGTTACTTGCTTTCCTTACTTCTTACTGAATTAACATCTTTTGCAAAATTTTCAACAACTCACAGTGAATAGGAAACTTTCTCAGTTTGTCTTCATGTGAATTTTTATTTATTTTTGCCTTTGTTTTGAGTGATAATTTAGGTATAAACTTTTATGTTAACAGCGCTTCAGTGGTTTTCTGGCAACTATTTTTATTGATAAGAATATTGCTCATTATTTAACTTTTTCTTCAATACATCCTGTTTTTCTGCCTTCTTTATAGATTTTTTCTTTGTTTTTGAAATTCTACAGTTCCACTGCAATATATTATGAAGAAGAAAAATTAACCTACTCACTTTGTGTTTCTTTTTGCCATATAAAAGTTTATTTCTTCTTTTGGTTCTGGAAAATTCAGTCATTTTGCTTTGTTGCTTTTCTTTTGTTCTTCCTATTCTTGTTCTCTGGAATTTTTGCTAGATGTATATTGGATATTATTTTTCTATTTTCTAGGTCTCTCCCCCGCCTTTTTTTTTTTTTTTTTTGAGACAGGGTTTCTGACTCTGTCACCCAGCCTGGAGTGCAGTGGTGAGATCATAACTCACTTCAGCCCCAACCTCCCAGGCTAAAGCAGTCCTCCTACTACAGCCTCCAGAGTAGCTGGGATTGCAAGTGCTTGCCACCATGCCCAGCTAATTGTTTTCATTTTTGTTTTTGTAAAGATGGGGTCTTGCTATGTTGCCAGGGCTGGTCTTGAATTCCCGGACTCAAGCAATTCTTCCCCCTTGGCCTCCCAAAGTGCTAGGATTACAGGCATGAGCCACCATGCCCAGCTTGTTTTCTAAGTCTCTTTACTTTCTTCTTATATTTTACTCTTCTGATCTTTCAGCTTATTAATTCTCTCTTCATCTCTATCTAACCTACTATTTAGCCAATATATTGAGTTTCATTAAAAATCAAATTAACTGGGGTAAAATTTACATACAACAAAATACATACATTTTAAATGTATCATTTGAAAAGTTTTGAGAAATATATACATATACATAACTATCACCCCAGTAAAGATAGAGAATATTTTCATCATCACAAGTTACAATAAATTTCTCATTCTCCTTTGCAATGAATTCCATCTACTGCCTATCTCAGGCAACTACTGATCTTATTTCTAGGCTGGGCGCGGTGGTTCACGCCTGTAATCCCAGCACTTTGGGAGGCTGAGGCGGGCAGATCACAAGGTCGGGAGATTGAGACAATCCTGGCTAACACGGTGAAACCTGTCTCTACTAAAAATACAAAAAATTAGCCAGGTGTGGTGGCGGGCACCTGTAGTCCCAGCTACTCGGGAGGCTGAGGCAGGAGAATGGCGTGAACCCGGGAGGCGGAGCTTGCAGTGAGCCGAGATCGCGCCACTGCACTCCAGCCTGGGCGACAGAGCGAGACTCCGTCTCAAAAGAAAAAAAAAAAAAAAATCTTATTTCTCTCACAATAAATTGATTTTGCCTGTTGTAGAATTTCAATAATGTTCTAAAAACATATGAATAAAAACATATAGTATATATAGTCCTTTGTATCTAGCTACTTTCAACTCAACATGTTTTTGAGGTTCATTCATGTTATGTTTATTAGAAATTCACTGTGTTTTAATACTATATTTAATTTTATGTATATACTATCATTTAATGATAAATACCTGATTTTATTTTTCTCCAAACAGTTTCTGCCTAAGAACACATAACAAACTGGGAGTATATATTAAGCTATGGTGGCCCCACACTTTTAGCATTATAGGATACACAAACATCAACACTTTGGAATTACTTATAAGTCGAATAATAAACCAAATTCTAGAGTGTGTCTGACACTGAGAGTATGGGCAGAAAGGCAGAGAAGTCTTAAAAAATTTCATGAAAAAGAATAGATGAGTGGAGACACTTAGATCAAGCACAGAAATTAATTCTGTAAGAAAAAGTCCAAGAATAAGTTCCATAGTTCTGAACGCAGAGCTGGGACTTGGTAGTTTATTGCTCTGTCTACAGGGAAGGGCCTTGAAAGAGAGTCAGACCAACAATAACATCCTTGGAGAAGCATTGCTCTTTGGAAAAATCAAATATATAGGAAAGGTGGTGGCTTTTGGAGATGTCACAGTTAAGGCAAAGAAGGAAATAAGAGTGAAGAAATTAAGGATCCTGCAGAAAAGAAACTGGAAAAAAATGGCAATACTCTCTCCTCTCTATCATTACCCATTAAAGCATTTGTATTTTATTAAACTAACAGAAGAGGGCACTCTTGAACTAGTAACCCCATTGACAAGGACTAGAAAAAAGCAGATCACATTCACATGAAACTGCTGTAAAAAGAAAATAGAAAATCTGAGTAATTTCAGTTGTTGAATATTCTCCCCTCCCAAAAAAATCACAAAGCAGAAGAGAAGTATAATACAACTTCTTAAATTGAATATTCTCCAAAAAGCATTTGGGGATACAGAAAAAATATACCTTAAATTAGAAGTTTGAAAACTAAGAAAATAAATTTCCAAAAAAGAGGATGAAATTCAGAGTTGATTGACTTCAGGAATTGGAATAAAAAGGAAAAAAAATACCAGATATGAAGATTACATTACAAAATACGTGAGAGAGTAGACTTAAATAAATACTGACAATTAAAACTATTGCTATCATCCTACAAGGAGAGAAAAATCAGACAACCTACAAAAATTTCCAGGGCCAGGGACTATTTTGTGAAGGCAGCTAGGACTGGAAGTGGCAACAGAGTAAGGCCAAATATACATAGCAGCTGATCTGGCTGGGCATAGAAGTAAAACACATTCTACTCCATGGTTGGAGTAAGTGGGAGATAGTAAACCCTTCTTTTCCCAGAATCTTATGGCTATATCCACATCTATATTATTAGAGGCCTGCTGCTGCTGATTTAGGGGAAATTTCTGCCTAAGGCTAACCAGAGATACAAGTCAGAGTTTTTCTACCATGGATAGCAGAAGAAAGCCACATGTCTGAGGTTATCATATCCAGAAAACTCTCCACTTGCAAACAAGAGCATACAAGAGCATAGAATAACAAACCGCAGTGGTCCACCACTAGGGGAAACACAAGAGGGTGGAGAAATAACCATTTAATGACAATGTGTGGAGGGATGATGAAAGCGTAGGTAGAAGATAAATGCAAAGAAAGCCTTTTACAACCCAACATTGATTCTAAGCTCAAGGCAATGGCAGTCCACCACTAGAAGAATTTGAAGCCTATGGTGCAAAACCAATAATCATAGCAGCCTCACAACCCAAATACAGCTCAACTGTTGACTAGTTTGACTCAAATCCTTACACTAATGTTCCAATTATTACACATAATGTCTCTGTTACACACAATGTTTAATGAAAGTTATAAGATTCACAGAAGCCAAGGCAGAGAACAATCACTTGTCAACAGACAAACCAGTCAACAGAACCAGACTCAGAGATGATCAAAATGTTGGCAGTATCAGAGATTTTAAAATAACTGTGATTAATGTCAAAGGATTTAAAATGAAAAAGATGGAGTGTGAAATTTCAACAAAGAGTTAGAAACTATAATACAGAGTAAAAGAGAAATGCTAGAATTATAAACACAAACACAAACATGTATGCACACACAAACTACTACAGATGAAAGATGAAGTATGCCTTTGAACAGCTCAGCCAGTAACTTGATATAGCTGAAGAAAATATTAGTGAGGAAAAAATCAGGAAAGCATTAGTCTTTAAAATAATCTAAACTAACATGTACAGAAAAGTGAGTGGGAAATGAAAACAGGGTAAATTCAAGAGCTGTGGGACAATATCAAATAATCTAACATATCTTTAATGGATCCCATAAAGAAAAGAGTGAGAGAAGAACAGAAAATGGATTGAAGAAATGTTGAAAATATAATAGATAAGAACAGACACTCTCAACCTATACTTTGTACTATATATAAAAAAATGAACTTGAAATGAAAAATAGAACTAAATATAAAACCAGAACTTTAAAACTGCATAAGACACTAAACTAGAAAACATAGGAGAAATATTTGTGACTTTGTGTTAGGGAAATATTTCATAGACATAAAATAAAAAGCCCAAATCATAAAAGGAAAAAATGATAAATAGGACTTCTTCAAATTGAAAACTTTCTTTCTTTGAAGGACAATGTTAAGCAAATGAAAAAGCAAATGTCATAGACTTGGAGAAAATATTTATAAGACATATAACTGAGAAGCAGTCTTTAATAGAATATATACATAATTTTTAAGGCTCAATAATTAGAAAATAACCTAATTCAAAAATGAGCAAAATATTTGAAAAGATAGTTCATTACTCTACAGATAGTGATTGCAAGAAATCACATGAAAGGATGCTCAACACCATTTTTTATTAGAGAAATGCAAATTGCAGCTACCATAAGATACCAAAACATACCTGGTAGAATAGTTAAAGTTAAAACAAAATACTGTAGCAGACAATACCAGGTGCCGGGTTGGATGGAGACCAGCTATAACCCTCACATATTGCTGATGGTAATGTGAAATGGTACAGTCACTTTGGAAAATTGTTTAGCAACATATATAAACTTAAATATATACTTGCCATATAACCAAAGAGTTCTGGTCCTACACAGTTACATGAGAGAGAAGAAAACATACACACACACAAACACACACACACATGCAATGCCCCCAAAACTCTACCTAAATGTTTATAGTAGCTTTGTTCCTAAGTTATCCCAACTGGAAAAAAAAAACAAATGTCCAGTATTTGGTAAATGTGTAAACAAACTAGAATCTGTTCTCTTCTTCCTCTTTCACCAGTGCACCAACTAAATAGCAAAAGCAATAGCAGGAATTGTTTTTGACCTATTCTACACATCTCCATTTTAACAATAAAATAATAGAAAAAAAAGAAAAATAAATTTTGCAACTATGATTCTTAATTTTCACTTCAGATGTAGTCATATGTATATTTGTAGGATTCGTCAGGAACCTGGAATTCTCTCATGATAAAATACATGGAAGCTTAATTACATTAATAAAAACACAACACTATTGAAATTTTGCTTTCTATCAGTTAAAACAGTAGATTACAGGAAATTAACCATTTTATGCCCTTTCCTGAGTATTGAGTTTCTCAGCATTTTAAAATTTATTAAAAATAAATCATGTTGAAAGTGCCAATGTTGCCACCCTTTGGAATGACATTATTTACATACAAAAGAGACTACTGCTAGGATTGTTCCCTTCACCTGCTTTTCAGTATGCACGCTTTTGGATAGAGGAAGAAGCCAGGGTGCCTTTTCCTACTCTCATGCAGCCAACACAACACTTCTGACCCCAGAGGTGTGAGGGTTTTCTCCCTTCACTAACCAAGGAATTCTCCAAGTGGACATCAGATGAGTGTTCCACAATTCAATTCAATTCGAATCTGACACGATCTACCTGGAGATAGTATCAGATTCCACAGGTTGAGGGCTCAATCTCACAAGCCTGTCTCCCACTTCAGATGACAGTTGCAAGCCTCAGGCTGTGGCTTGGTTTCTGATTGACCGGCTATAAACTGGGGTTTTCATGACCTCCTCCTTGGGTTCAGTTAGTTTGCTAGAGTTGCTCACAGGACTCAGGGAAACACTTTACTTATGTTTGCAGTTTATTGTAAAGGATATTACAAAGGATATAAATGAATAGGCAGATGGAAGAGATGCCTAGGGCAAGGTGTTTGGGAAGGGTTGCTGAGCTTCCATGCCCTCTCTAGGCACACCACCCTCTTGGAACCTCCATGTATTCAGCTATCTGGAAGCTCTCTAAACCCAGTCCTTTTGGATTTTTAGGGAAGATTAATTAGGTAGGCCTGGTTGATTAAGTCATTGACCATTGTTGTCAATCACCTTAACCTTCAGTCCTTTACCCTTCCCCAGGATTTGGGGGATGGGACTATATATTCCAACTCTTTAATCAAGCCTTGGTCTTCTGGTGGCCAGCGATCATTCTGAGGTTATCTAGGGCCTCTCAGCAACCAGTCATCCCATAACATACAAAAGACACTCTTACCACTCCTGAGATTCCAAGCATTTTAGAAGTTGTGTGACAGGAAACTGGATGAAGATCAAATATATAAATCTTATTATAAATCACAATATCACACATATATGGACCCCAAAACTGTTGGGGATAATGAAGTTGGTTTAAATGTGCAGACAGCAAAAAGGTTGTCAAAATCTTGCCTAGCTTAGGGAAACTGACAGAGTAGATTTCTTGGCAGTATCTTTGTGGTTGTTAGATTCTCAATGTCAAATATCTTTCCTTTATACCTCTATGTTTCTTTAACATTTTCTTTAAATTTGCACAATTTAGAAATTTCAACAAATTAGAAAAGCAATTTATGCTACGAAGGAATCTTTTCTTAAAAATTAGAGTACTCTTCAGTATTTTAAACTTTCTTAAATCTATATTCATATGTTAGCATGATTTTGTTTAAAATACCCAGCAGACATCAGCCATGCTGGATTGATTAAGATAAGCAGTTGATAAAAATTGGAGCTCCGAGCAGGCCTGGATAGATTGCTGTCATGAGAAGATTTGGTGAGCAAAAACAAGAGTACTGAATGTCTATATAGCGAACACCAGGATGCTGAGGGCGTTACTCAATTTGTCCCTCCTTTTTCTTTATTAATATTCCCAGCTTCCTGTATATGCCTCAGCACACTGAGTTCAAATTAGCCTATAACAAAGAATAGGGAATTGAAATAAACATACATGAAGCCCTTATATTTCATGGAAAGGAATGACAATTGGATCATGTACTCAAAATCTTATGTTTCCTATAATCTTATGTATCCTGCACAAAAATGCTCATATATGAGAAATACGGGGTTTACTTGTATTTGTGAGCCAAATTTACCTGGTATGATACTTAACAATTGCAAATACTGTACAGTTTCTTACTGGAACTATGCATTTTTGATTTCTTAATAATATACAAATAAACTTTTGAAAGGGCAACTATTTAATACTGCCTATAGCTGCATTTTATCAGTTATTTGCAAAATTTAATCAAGCACCTTGTGTCATAATTTCCTTGGAGAAACTTCTATATCTCAGGGTGCAATAGTATTGTCTTTGTGTCACACACTCAACATTTGCTTTTTTCATAGTCTCTCTACCCTTTAAAACTCAAGTTAGAACAAGCAAATAAACAAACACACCCTCTCCTCTCCTCTTCACAATCCCAGAATACCATCCATAGCTAGTTTATAACTTTTTGAAATGGTAATCAGCAACTATACCTGTGCATAACATCTGCTGGGAATTTATATCTATTTAATTCACCAACCAGGTAATAAAATATCCTGGGTGCAATTTTCCCTAGAACTATGGTATATGGACTCAAATTGAAGCAGACATAAAAAAGTATGCTACTTGTTTCCTTGGCAGACTTTTCAAGAAATCACAGAAAACTAAAAACTG